>NT_187381.1:0-43739 GCF_000001405.40 Homo sapiens | reverse complement strand
CTGCCAAGACGAATCTTTACCATGTAAATCCTTTTCAGAAATGAAGATTAGATTAGAACTTTGCCAGACAAAAAATAAAGGAGTTCTTCACTGCTGGACCTGCCTTAAACACCAAAGGGTCTCAACTAGGTCTGCAGAATAATGATATAGCTGCATCAGCTCCATTCTGGCCTCTGCCATGTGACAGTTTTGTGTGGATTTGCTTTCTACACCCTCATGGCTTTTTTCTGTCTAAACTTCTAAATTCATTCTCCTTTTAATTTGCAGTTTATTGAAAATATTCATATTTAGCTTAGAACATTAAAAAACTTTGGAAAAAAATTCATCTTAAACCCACCAAGTCTAATTAACTCTCTTCAGGGATGCCCGTTTTTTTCTTGTTTTCCTATAGGATATGGCCCTTGTTTCTATCTCAGTTCAGTCCTTGTTTTCGTATGCATGAGGTATCCAACCATCACATGCCCAGGAACACCTTGGAGGAACGTACCCTATCATCCATCCCTTCAGCCTTCACGTGCACAGGGGCCATTCTTTCAGCTGTTGTATGCTTTAGGATTTTCCATTCAAAAGTGTTTTCAATAGCCCCCCAAAGAAAGTCCTTGGACCTTAAAACATGATGTGGTGTTGGGGGCATTGACAGCTAAATTTCACTGAAAGTATCTTCTGTGCTTGGTAATTGGGGAAGACTGGGAAGAAGATAACAAAACTCAGACCCCATGTAGCTCCTCATTTAGCAATAGATTCAGTACAAATTTAGAAAGTTGAAGACATAGAGTAATGTTGCTGTGGTTTTCTGTGATATAATAAGGAGACAGCAGAAGATGGTCAGTGGTCAGTTTCCATCCAGCTGGTACTCATTGTCAATTAGTTAAGTCCTAATAAAGGATAAAATGCAACATTTGTGACAAAGCCCCAGGGTTTGTTTAAAAGACCTTGTCCCAACAGGGACGTGACAGTTTTTATATGAGAGCTACTGTTTTTGCCTAATTCATGTGAAAATCTGAGCGATGTGCCCAGCCTCAGGGGGCTGCTTCTCCCTCCAGGAGATGGAGCTAACAGAGTTGTGTGGTATTAGCCTGTCTGGGTCTTCGTAAGAAGACAAAAGGAGTGGGTGGCTTAAACAACAAATATTGATTTTCTTACAATTCTGCAGTCTGAATGTAGAAGATCAAGGTGCTGGCAGGGTTGGTTCTTGGTGCGGCTTCTTCCTGGCTTGCAGAGGCCCACCTTCTAGTGCACTATGTCTCCACGTGGCCTCTTCTCTGTGTGCATGTGAGAAGTGAGAGGTCTCTGGTGTCTCTTCCTCTTCTTATAAAGACAACAGGTCTATTGCATTAGGGTCTCACTTATGACCACATTTAACGTTAATTATACCATTAAAATTCCGATATAGATCCATTGGATTTAAAGTTTCAGCATATGAATTTCAAAAAGGGCACAATTAAATTGATGACACAAATCAAGAGATGGTGAGAAGCATTAGAATATATATATATAAATAAGGTATAATGGGCTGTGCAGGTACTTGCAGGAAAGTTTTTAGTAATTGGTGAAACTTCAATTGTAACAGGAAAATTTGCCTTACTCCTTTCTTTCCTGGCACAAGGATGTGAGGAAGTAGAACCACAGACAATAAAGAAAGAGGACCTCTACGGAAAGCTGAGGTGCTGGCGAGGAGGGAGATGATGATCTCTGAGAAGATGAGCAAGCCCCGCTCACCCTGCACCTGCTCCTGACCCGGCCTTGTATTCCGTGAGCTCCGCGCGCCCCCTGCTGGCCGTGAGCTGCACCTGCGCCGGTCCCCTCAGCCTCCCTGCAGGGAGGTTTGTGTCTGGGCTCACACTCACCTCCCCTCACTGTGTCTCTCGCACAGTAATACACGGCCGTGTCTGCGGCGGTCACAGAGCTCAGCTTCAGGGAGAACTGGTTCTTGGACGTGTCTACTGATATGGTGACTCGACTCTTGAGGGACGGGTTGTAGTAGGTGCTCCCACTATGATAGATACTCCCAATCCACTCCAGCCCCTTCCCTGGGGGCTGCCGGATCCAGCCCCAGTAGTAACCACTGCTGATGGAGTAACCAGAGACAGTGCAGGTGAGGGACAGGGTCTCCGAAGGCTTCACCAGTCCTGGGCCCGACTCCTGCAGCTGCACCTGGGACAGGACCCCTGTGAACAGAAAAACCCACGGTGAGCCCTGGGATCAGAGGCACTTCCCATATCTTCACGTCTGGATCCCTGAGACACTCACATCTGGGAGCTGCCACCAGCAGGAGGAAAAACCACAGGTGCTTCATGTTCTTGCACAGGAGGTCCATGACTCTCAGAAAGCATTTCCCTTATGAGTTGGACCTGAATTTAAGGAAATGTGTTGTGGCTTCCTGTGGGCGCCTAAGTGAGGATTTGCATGTGGGTGGTGCCTTTGTACGGAGCAGTGAAAAGGGATGAGAGAGGCGCCGGTCTTTTGGGCTCACCCTGGGAGTAGAATGCTGGCTGTGCCCTTTGAGAACTCAGTTCTCTTCTTGGGGCCTCCCCTCGCCAAGCCCAGAGTGCTCTTCTTCCAGGTAAAGAGATGTGCTGAAGGAGCTTGTCTGAGAGATGAGTGTGATCATGGATCAAGGACAGATTGTGGAATAGGGTCAATACTGTTCAACCCTTAAAGATTCATATAAAACCAACCACACACCCAGGTCATCTAAATTGTCATTTACTACTTCAGACACATTGAAACAACAGCTGAATGTAATAATGACAGTGACTTCAAACAATCCTGGATCCATCCAGTGTTTATTGTAGTTCAGAACACCCATCATGGTTAGAGGGAAGCTCCCTGTCCCTGGAAGTGGGTCATTTTAAAAAGCACCTGAGAGCTGTCCTTCTGTGTCCTTTTGAAATTTGGGATTCTGTCTGAGATCTCAGGAGAAGGTAGTGAGACATATCTCCATCCTTCTCAATGTGTGACCTTGAAGATGTGTCCTGGCCTCTAAACACTTCTGAATGAAAATATGTGGATCAGGGATTGCAGTGACAACTTCAGACAAAAACTCTATAACAGGTCAGCACTGGAGGATAGTCTCATGGAGATCATAAAGATTAGTGCGATTACCTTTCCTGGGAACCAGAGAGGACCTGTGTGACCCCTCTCCTCTGAGAGCACAAGGAACTCTGGTCCTTCCCTGACAAGTCACACCTGTGAAACATGGCTGGACAATGACACTCAAGTCCAGAGTCTTTACCCACATATTTATCATTTCAGGTCCATCTGTCTCTGAAAGACCTTCTCCTCCATTGAATTGCATGAACACACCCTAGGATGTGCGGTATTGCAACTTGGGCATTTGACATTAGTTTGGTTAATTATATAATAAATAATCTATCTCCATGGATGTGGGTAACAGGAGAGTCATCAGAAGTGCGATGTGTTTTAAAATCAGGACAAACCTGGGCTTTCTTGTTAGGACCTGAACAACTGGACTGACCTGTGGGACAACAGAGGGAAAGAGACAGACCCCACACCAGAGCCAGGTGAACTCCTTACCTACCAGATGGTTTCTGGGCATTTTGTTTGAACAGATCGAGAGGGAGCTTCCTCACCCTCAGGAGAATTATGAACATTGAGGGAAATGGATATAAGTTTTTATTTACAGAGAATAATTCATAGGCTTGTAGACATCTATGTGGGTGTGTACAGGGTTGCTAGGACATGCTTATACACAGAACAGAAAGAATTATATTTCGTGGAAAGAAAAGCAAAGAGCTTCTGAATTCATAGGTATTGTTTGCACAATGTGTCAGATCACTAGATCATGTTATGATGCTGGAGGTAAAACTTCCCAACATTGCCATGGAGACAAAATGCAAAAGAGTAAAGATTCAAGTGAGATTCCTCTGAAAAATATCAGTAATGAACAGGCCAAAAGAAATGAACCATTATGGAAAGAGGGGTAATGAAATGAAACAATAAATTCCATGTTGAGGTGACAGGGAAGTTCCATCTGAAAGCTCATTTTCACCTCTGTGGGTACTGAGTGCCCCCTGCCACCCAGCTCCCACCCTGAAGGGAGATTTCTGTCTGAGCTCTGTGAGTGAGCTGGAGTCATTGTGAACCATTTAGAAAAGCAGCTGTGTGCCAGGGTGTATGGAGTCCTCCTGAGTTAAGAGGTGCTAAATATACACCAGTTTCACTGCCGTCATTGTATTTTATTCTCTGGACTCTCTTGATGTCCAGATTTGAACACATGGAGCATTCATGGAACTTATTGTGACTGGGAACTTTTCAGTGAAGATGGAGGTAACATGTGGGTGTAATTAAATTTGGGTTTTGAAAATATTATTATCAAAAATTTCAAAGTCAGTACCTATTAATTTTTCTTTTTTAGATTTTACAGATGAAGACTTGCTTGGTTGTGCAGGCTGGAGTGCAGTGTCATCTATTAATTTTATAGCATAAATAGTCTGCTAAAATAGTCATATATGATAATCTTGAGATATTAAATTGAAAAAAATAACTAATTTGAAAATGAACCCAGCTTCCAGGAGAGGTGAAAATTCCTTTGTGGCGAAGGATGTGAAGGGTGTAGACATGGCTGAATACTGAGGTTGTGTTCACAATTGTTTTATTTTAATTAGGGGAAGCTCTATACATCCTTTCTATTTATTAGAAACTCCCATTGAGAACCTTGAACTAATATAATTTGTTGATAGATTACACAAAAACAATGAAGCTGAAGGTTTTTAAGCAGGAATTGCTATTACAACATTAGCTTTCCTTTAGAACGCATTCTTCTACCTGATGTGAAATTAGCCCAGGTGCACTGATGAGAGCTTGTCAGTTAAGCAAAGACCAGGAAATGGGCTCACATGTGTCTAGAACAGGGCATGGCTTTGGGATGCTTTGCTAACAAAGTGGCTTCTCATGTCTTCTGGAAAACCCATCAAAATGGGCAAGTTAAGGATCTCTGAGGAGCACCCGTCTACCCCAAGTTCTTAGCTAATATAAAAGTAGAAGATGATGCAAAATGAGATCATATGGAAGTTAAAGAAACTGCTGCACCACTGCCTCAGCTCAGCACAGCTGCCTCCTCCCTCAGGGTTTTTGACTCTCTCGGGATGTGGGTTTCCACACTGTGTCTCTCATAGAGTCATACACGGCCGTGTCCTCAGCCTTTAGGCTGCTGATCTGCAGATACGCCATGCTGACAGAGGTGTCCATGGAGAAGACAAACCGTCCTGTGAAGCCGTGGGTATACATTGGGTTCCCAGTGTAGGTGATGATCCATCCCATCCACTCGAGCCCTTGTCCAGGGGCTGGTCACACCGAATTCATACCATACTGGCTGCATAGTATTCCATGATTTACATATATCATATTTTATCTAATCATCCACTGATTGACACTTAGATAGATTACTTGACTTTTCTATTAAAAATGGTGTTGAAATAAACATAGGAGTGCAGGCAACATTCTCTGATATAAAAGTTTGGGAGGAACATGCCCACTGGGATGGCTTGCTGGAAGAAATGGTAATTCTAATTTTAGTTCTTTGAGAAATTTCTATGTTGTTTTTCATGGAGGTTGTACTAATTTACATTCTCACCAAGCATATATAAATCATTATTTTTCCTATGTTTGTCTGCAAACACCTGCTGTTTTTTATTTGTAATAACAGCCATTCTGACTGGTGGAAGATGCCATATCATGTTGTTTCTAATTTACATTTATCAGATGATTGGTGATGCTGAGTATATTTTATTTGTGTTGGCCACTTCTGTGTATTCTTTTGATAAATGTCTGTTTTTGTCTATTCTTTAATGAAGTTATTTGTAATTTTTAGTTGACTTATTTGAGTTACTTGTAGATTCTATATATTAGCCCTTTGCAAGATGAATAGATTCCAAATATTTTTTCCATTTGCAGATTGTCTGGTCACCATGTTGGTTATTTCTTTTGCTGTGCAGAAGACCTTTAGTTCAATTAAATCCTGTTTGTCTACTTCTGTTTTTATTGCATTTGCTTTTGAAGTCTTAGTCATATTTTGTTTGCTTAGACCAATGTCCAGAGGACTCTTTTTAGATTTTATTCAAGTATTTTTATAGTTTAATTTATAAATTTAAACACTGAATCCATATTTAGTTAATTTGTGTCTATGGTGATATGGAAGTCTCGTTCTATTCTTCCACATAAGCCACCTAATTTTCCCGGCACCATTTATTGAATAGAGGGTTGTTTCTCCAGTGTATATTTTTGTCAGTTTTTTCAAACAACAGTTGGTTTTAGATATTTGGCTTTCTTTCTGGGCTATTTTTTTCTACTAGTAGCATGCTGTCTTTCTTATTATATTCATGTAGTATAATTTGAGGTCAGAGAATGTGGTGCTTCCAGCTTTGGTCTTTTTGCTTAGGATTGCTTTTGCTATTCAGACACTTTTTTGATTCTGTAGGAATTTTAGTATTTTTTTTCTAAATATGTAATCAATTATATTGGTCATTTGATAAAAATAGAGTTGAATCTGTGTAATGCTTTGGACAGTGTGTTAGTCTCTTTTGCATTCCTATAAATTAATACCTGAGGCCAAGTGATTTACAAAGAAAAGAGGCATATTTGGCTTACAGTTCTGAAGGCTGTGTGAGAAGCATGGCACCAGGATCTGCTTTACAATCATGGTGGAAGGCAAAGGGGAAACAGGCTATGTCACATGGTGAGAGCTGGGACATGAGTGGCAAGAAGGGTTGCCAGACTCTTTTTAACAATCAGATCTCATAGTAGCTAATACAGCAAGAATTCACTAAGTGCCATGGGGTGGTTCCCAAGCCATTCCTGAAGGATCTTTCCCCATGACCCAAAACCTCCCAGTCGGTCCCATCTCCAACATTGAGAATCACATTTCACCATAACATTTGGAAGGGAAAACATCTAAACTATATCATTGCACTCTTGAGTCCAAAATTCTCATGTCCTTGCATTGCAAAATATGATCATCTTTTTTCAGTGGAGAAGCAAGAGCAAACACATTCAAAAGCTAGCAGAAGGCAAGAAATAACTAAGATCAGAGCAGAACTGAAGGAAATAGAGACACAAAAAACCCTTCAAAAAATCAATGAATCCAGGAGCTGATTTTCTGAAAAGATCAACAAAATTGATACACCACTAGCAAGACTAATAAAGAAGAAAAGAGAAGAATCAAATAGACGCAATAAAAAATGATAAAGGGGATATCACCACCGATCCCACAGAAATACAAACTACCATCAGAGAATACTATAAACTCCTCTATGCAAATAAACTAGAAAATCTAGAAGAAATGGATAAATTCCTGGACACATACACTATCCCAAGACTAAACCAGGAAGAAGCTGAATCTCTGAATAGACCAATAACAGGCTCTGAAATTGAGGCAATAATTAATAGCTTACCAACCAAAAAGAGTCCAGGACCAGATGGATTCACAGCCGAATTCTACCAGAGGTAGAAGGAGGAGCTGGTACCATTCCTTCTGAAACTATTCCAATCTATAGAAAAAGAGGGAATCCTCTCTAACTCATTTTATGAGGCCAGCATCATCCTGATACCAAAGCTTGGCAGAGACACAACAAAAAAAGAGAATTTTAGACCAATATCCTTGATGAACATCGATGCAAAAATCCTCAATAAAATACTGGCAAACCGAATCCAGCAGCACATCAAAAAGCTTATCCACCATGATCAAGTGGGCTTCATCCCTGGGATGCAAGGCTGGTTCAACATACGAAAATCAATAAATGTCATCCAGCATATAAACAGAACCAAAGACAAAAACCACATGATTATCTCAATACATGCAGAAAACGCCTTTGACAAAATTCAACAACCCTTCATGCTAAAAACTCTCAATAAATTAGGTACTGATGGGATGTATCTCAAAATAATAAGAGCTGTCTATGACAAACCCACAGCCAATACCATACTGAATGGACAAAAACTGGAAGCATTCCCTTTGAAAACTGGCACAAGACAGGGATGCCCTCTCTCACCACTCCTATTCAACATAGTGTTGGAAGTTCTGGCCAGGGCAATCAGGCAGGAGAAGGAAATAAAGGGCATTCAATTAGGAAAAGAGGAAGTCAAATTGTTCCTGTTTGGAGATGACATGATTGTATATCTAGAAAACCCCATCGTCTCAGCCCAAAATCTCCTTAAGCGGATAAGCAGTTTCAGCAAAGTCTCAGGATACAAAATCAATGTGCAAAAATCACAAGCATTCTTATACACCAATAGCAGACAAACAGAGAGCCAAATCATGAGTGAACTCCCATTCACAAGTGCTTCAAAGAGAATAAAATACCTAGGAATCCAACTTACAAGAGATGTGAAGGACCTCTTCAAGGAGAACTACAAACCACTGCTCAAGGAAATAAAAGAGGATACAAACAAATGGAAGAACATTCCATGCTCATGGGTAGGAAGAATCAATATCGTGAAAATGGCCATACTGCCCCAGGTAATTTATAGATTCAATGCCATCCCCATCAAGCTAGCAATGACTTTCTTCACAGAATTGGAAAAAACTACTTTAAAGTTCATATGGAACCAAAAAAGAGCCTGCATTGCCAAGTCAATCCTAAGCCAAAAGAACAAAGCTGGAGGCATCAAGCTACCTGACTTCAAACTATACTACAAGTCTACAGTAACCAAAACAGCACGGTACTGGTACCAAAACAGAGATACAGACCAATGGAACACAACAGAGCCTTCAGAAATAATGCCGCATATCTACAACTATCTGATCTTTGACAAACCTGACAAAAACAAGCAATGGGGAAAGGATTCCCTATTTAATAAATGGTGCTGGGAAAACTGGCTAGCCATATGTAGAAAGCTGAAACTGGATCCCTTCCTTACGCCTTATGCAAAAATTAATTCAAGATGGATTAAAGACTTAAACGTTAGACCTAAAACCATAAAAACCCTAGAAGAAAACCTAGGCAATACCATTCGGGACATAGGCATGGGCAAGGACTTCATGTCTAAAACACCAAAAGCAATGGCAACAAAAGCCAAAATTGACAAATGGGATCTAATTAAACTAAAGAGCTTCTGCACAGCAAAAGAAACTACCATCAGAGTGAACAGGCAACCTACAGAATGGGAGGAAATTTTTGCAACCTATTCATCTGACAAAGGGCTAATATCCAGAATCTACAATGAACTCAAACAAATTTACAAGAAAAAAACAAATATCCCCATCAACAAGTGGGCGAAGGACATGAACAGACACTTCTCAAAAGAAGACATTTATGCAGCCAAAAGACACATGAAAAAATGCTCATCATCACTGGCCATCAGAGAAATGCAAATCAAAACAACAATGAGATACCATCTCACACCAGTTAGAATGGCGATCATTAAAAAGTCAGGAAACAACAGGTGCTGGAGAGGATGTGGAGAAATAGGAACACTTTTACACTGTTGGTGGGACTGTAAACTAGTTCAACCATTGTGGAAGTCAGTGTGGCGATTCCTCAGGGATCTAGAACTAGAAATACCATTTGACCCAGCCATCCCATTACTGGGTATATACCCAAAGGATTGTAAATCATGCTGCTATAAAGACACATGGACACGTATGTTTATTGTGGCACTATTCACAATAGCAAAGACTTGGAACCAACCCAAATGTCCAACAATGATAGACTGGATTAAGAAAATGTGGCACATAAACACCATGGAATACTATGCAGCCATAAAAAATGATGAGTTCATGTCATTTGTAGGGACATGGATGAAGCTGGAAACCATCATTCTCAGCAAACTATCGCAAGGACAAACAAACTAAACACTGCATGTTCTCACTCATAGGTGGGAATTGAACAATGAGAACACATGGACACAGGAAGGGGAACATCACACACCGGGGCCTGTTGTGGGGTGGGGGGAGGGGAGAGGGATAGCATTAGGAGATATACCTAATGTTAAGTGACGAGTTAATGGGTGCAGCACACCAACATGGCACATGTATACATATGTAACTAACCTGCACATTGTGCACATGTACCCTAAAACTTAATTTTTAAAAATACCCCTACATATAAATTTAAAAATTACTAAAACACAAATCCCAATTTTAAAAAATCATGATAAATAAGCATAGTAAAATATCAAAACCTCATAAGGCTCCAGATTCCTGCAAAAACAAACCCGCCTCCTGCAGCTGATAAAGGAAACCTCCCCCTGCACCCGCCCACCTGTCCCGTCCTCAGTGGGTCCCGAGCGCCCCCAGTTGGCCCTGCGCGCCCCTGCAGGGAGATTTGTGTATGGGCCCAGGTTAACCTCCCCTCACTGTGTCTCTAGTACAGTAATAGATGGCCGTGTACTTGGTTTTCAGGGTATTCATTTGCATATACAGTGTGTTCTTTGAATCATCTCTTGAGATGGTGAACCTGCCTTTCACAGATGCAGCGCATTCCGTCGTGTAACTGTTACGTTTGGTTCTAATACGGCCAACCCACTCCAGCCCTTTCCCAGAAGCCTGGCGGATCCAGTGCATCCAGAAGTCACTGAAGGTGAATCCAGAAGCTGCAAATGAGAGTCTCAGGGACCTACCCAGGCTGTACCAAGCCTCCCCCAGCCTCCACCAGCTGCGCCTCATGCTGGACGCCTGCAAACACAGAGACACCCTGGTCAGAAACGGCCGCACATATCCACTGTTTCTCTCACTCATGTCCACTCGCACTCAACATCTCTCATTCTCCATAAATCACCTTCAAACTCCGAAACAACATTATACTGAATAGGAATATGTTGAAAGTATTCCTCCTAAGACTCAGAACACGTCAAGGATGCCCACTTTCACCACTCTTAATCAATATAGAACTTGAAATCCTAGCCAGAGAAATTAGGCAAGAGAAAGAAAGAAAGGGACTCGAATTGGAAAAGAGGAAGTCAAACTCTTTGTGTTTGCTGATAATATGATTTTGTACTTAAAAAAAACTAATATTCTTTCAAAATACTCCTAGAATTGATGAGTTAATTCAGTAAAGTTTTAGAATAAATGAAAAAAGCATACAAAAACCAGTAGTATTATTATACACAAGTAACAATCTAGCAGAAAGCCATAGATGAGTGGAACAGAATAGATATTTCATAAATAAAGTCAAATGCCTGCAGCCAAACTGACTGTGAAAAACTAGACAAAAAGCATACACTGGGAACAGGTCACCTTGTTAAATAAATTGTGCAGGAAAAACTGAACAGCCATTTGCAGCAGAATAAAACTGGACCCGTATCTCTCACTATATCCAAAATTAAGCCAATATGGATAAAAGACTTAACTGGGAGACCTGAGAGTCTGAAAGTTGCAGATGCTATTCTAGGAAATATTGTTCTGGAGATTGTCCTAGGCAAAGAATTCATGACTACAACTTTAAAAGTAAACAGAATAAAAAACAAAATAGACCATTTGGACTTAATACAAATAAGAAGCAAAGCATCTGAACAGCAAAACAAATAACCAAAAAACTTAACAGAAAGTGTACAGGATGGGATAAAACTATTTTTAAACTCTGTATCTGACAAAGAGCTAATATTTAGAAACTATAAGAAACAAAAGCAACACAAAAACCTACAAATAACCACATTAAAAATGAGCAAATTACTACAACGTTTATTTTTCAAAAGACAAAAAAACATCAACCAGCATATGAAAAAATAATCAATGACATTAATCATCAGAAAAATGCAATTTAAAGACACAGTGAGATACCATCTTATACCAGTCAGAACAGCTACTGTTAAAAAGTCAAAAAGAAAAATGGAACAAAACAAAACAGATGCTAGTAAGGATGCAGAGAAGCAGGAGTGCTTATACACTGCTAGTGGAAATGTAAATTACTATAAGCTCTATGGAAAACAGTATGGAGATTTTGCAAATAATTAATATTGGAACTAATATTTCATTCAGCAGTCCCACTACTGGGTATCTACCCAAGGGAAGATAAATTATTATATCAGATAGATGCCTGCATTTATATGTTTATTGCTGCTCTATTCACAATAGCAAATACATGGTACCAAACTAAGTTTCTATTAGTAAATGGTTAGATAAAGGAAACAGTTGTATATGTTCATACATATACATATATGTACACACACATCCCCACACATACACGCACTATACATGTGTATGTACATATACACATTTAATTACTACTCAATAATAGACAAGGAATGAAATTATGTATTTTCCAGTAGCATGGATGAAACTGTAGGCCACTATCTTAAGTTAAAGAACTCAGAAGAATAAAGTTGAATACCACATGTCATATATAAGTGAGAGCTAAATAATATGTACACATGGATATAGAGTGTGGAATAAGAAATATTGGAGACTTGGAAGGTTGGGAGGGTGGGAGTGGCATGTGGGATGAGAAGTTACTTAATGGGTACAATATACACCATCCAGATGATGACTATACTCAAAGCCCAGATTTTATCCCTCAACAATATATCCATGTAACAAAACGGCACTTTCACCCCATAAATGTATACAAACAAAAGGATAAGTGATACATATCCCAATTATCACAAACCCACTCCAGAATGTCTTATACATACACACACAGCATTACCACTACTTTATTGTAGTGTTCCATTTTTTTCACTTAAAAGAGAAAGGCAATCTCCATTGTCAGGGTAAATACACTTTGGAGAAGCTGTTATCCAGTAGGCCAGGGCAGTGCAGCTCTCCCATCAGCAACCACAAAGCTTTGTGTTTGGGTCATGTACATTCATTTACTATTGTTCCGTAGTAGTCTCTGGGCACAACATTGGCCCACACATTCTCCTCCATTCTAAGGGACTCAAAACAGAATCCACTTTTATACTAGTCATTCTCCAAATCCAGATTAACAAAAATTATTAAAGAAGCAAAAGATAAAACTCAAAAAGAGAGAACCCATCTCACTATCCTCCCATATTTCAGTCGTTTCATGCCTTACTCTCCCCATTTCACCACCTGAGCCACCTTCTGGGTGGGTAGAGTTTGTGAAGCTTTTATCTTTTATCACAGTGTAATTGCTAACTCTAGTGGTCATGAGCCCATCAGCCCTAAATGAAAATGGTCAAAATCTGAGGTTGGTGCAGTATCCCTCTCCCTGCCAACTCTCTCCTGGATTTTCACTTAGTTCTCACAGATGGAAATTGCATTATTTAGGCTATTTCTAATCATTTCACATTTCATTATGTATCAACAGAGCCAAGCTCCTTGGGAGTTGGATTTATAATTTCTAAATCCCATTTACCTCCAGAAACCGATTTCAGCTCAGCTGCTGTAATAGACTGTAGTATTCTGTCACTCCCCAGGTATCAAATTTTGCCATTCCATACCTGAACACTTACGTTTTCCATGCAATGCTTCAGCCATGTATCATCATTGAGTCAGGGTCTCTCTAGGAAATCCTTCTTCTAACACAACTGTGTTGAGAGTTCTCATCTGCCACCTGTAGGCTGAAAAATCAGTAAAAACATAGGACTCATAACTGTTCTATTCACAGGAACAGTTTATTACAGCAAAATGATACAATTTAAAATAAGCAAAGACAAAAGGCACAAGGAGTGAAGCCCTGGAGAATCCAGGCACAAGCTCTCAGGGGTCCTCTCACAGTGGAGCCTTCTACACATGTGTAATTGTTCAGCTGTGAGGTAAGATGGCTTGTGTGAAGTGTTGACAACAAGGGGAGTGCCGTTGAGCTTTCTTGTCCAGGGCTGTGTTTGGGGAATGAATCATAGACCATGGAACACCTGGGGAACTGACCACAATACTCAGACGACAGCCCTCTCCAGCAAAACAAAAGTAGACATTCACTATAAATCACTGTGATTAAACTTGTACCGCATGTCCCAAGGCTACAGACATCCACAGACACTGTTATCAGGTGCAATATTTTATGGACTCGGAGATCTCATCACAGTAGGTAACAGCAATAAATGAACAAAAGTTGTTTTTTTTTAGTTATTTATTTTTTAGGAATGTGCAGGGTTTGAACAATTCATACCTGCTGAGTTAACCCACTGCTATACACAAGTCCAGCTGGGATGGATTGTGGATGGTCAGGCTCAGAAGAGAGAATAGAGATGGCCAAGTTAGGACCCCAAGGAGGAGCCTGAGGGAGGGAAATCGAGAGCCTCTGGAGGGGCCCATGAGTGTGCCTGATCTGTGAGTTAAACCAAAGCTGTGATATTTCCAAGGAGCCCAAGAAAATGGTGCTACAGTGAAGGGTGTGGGGAAGTGGCCGTAAAGAGGCAGTGCATGGGCGCAGGAGCGGAAGGGAGCTAAAGGGGTTAAGAACCAAGAAGCAGAGCAAGGGATCTGGGCATTCCTTAAAGAAGGAGGTTCAGAAATAAGCTGTCAAATGCCTCTAGCCTGGGCTTCCATCCATATGTCAAAGATAAATTCTAGGCATGTTTCCCATCTGACAAATACCACAGTGTGAGGAAGGAGATGGCGGCGTTGCTAGGAGAGAACACTCTGGACGTGGCAGCAGCCCGTCCTTGTCCACACATGGCCCTGCCTGTCCTTTATCATCACAGCTTGGAGGTTCTCATCCTTGTCCTGTGGTGGAAAAAAACCACCCTGTTCTTGGAATCCTAAGGAGATCTCCAGACACACGTGGGTGGTAAAGTCTACCCTAAATCTGGCATTTCCAAACAAGTCCTCTATCTACTTTTCATCACTGTCTTTGTGAAGCTTCAGGTTAAGTGAAATATGTCAGTCACTAAATAGTAAAAACAAATCGCCAATTTACCAATGTTGGGATGACTCTTGGGTTTCAGAAGCAAAGAATTGGACAGAGAAGCAAAACTGTTTGTGCTCAGGACTTCTGGACACCACACATGGAAATTGAAATTCACACATACACACACAGTAAAATGGATAATCGCACTTATCTTACTTTTTGAGGTTCCTTGAGCAACTTAGGAAGCACTAAAGGTAGATTTATTAAAGAAAAAATATCAAGTAAAGACACTTGTTCCAGCACAGTAAGGAAGACTTTATCCAGGGTCCTCATGGTAGGTGTTGGGATCAGGGCAATGGTGTTTTGCAGTGAGGAGAGAGATTCAGCTGAACTCCAAATGCAGAAAGGAAATGTGGGGATTTAAAGCCAAGCAGCAGGGTGGGGTCCGGAAGATGGAAAATTACTGAGAGGAAACATCAGGGGCACAGCAAATCCTGCTTAAACCAACCTGCCAGAATTCTTGATGTTGGGCCAGGGTGATTAGACGTCACCGAGGTATGGTGAAGGGCAAGGAAACTGATCAGATACCCAGGAAAATCAGACATGGAGGATGGGGAAATCTGGCTAAACCAACACACCAGAATTCCAGGTAAAACTGAATTTCACATGAAGTGCAGAGAGAGGGGATGATGAGAAGTTTTAGGAGCCTCCTAACTTCTGTTGAAGCAAATGAGCTTCATCAGTTTGGGACCCATAAATGGTAGCACTTTCTGCTAACAAAACTCACAACTAAGTGAAATGAGAAAAATTTGTCACAAAAATGTACATTCAACCATTTCCTGAATTTCTGGAGATTCTGAGTGGCAGAATGAGCTGAGGTGTGATAGATCAATGGGTGTCCTAATTCTGAACCCACAATTAGTTCTAAGGAGTGTTCACTGACAAAAGAACAGCTCAAGGTTCCCACATGTACAAACACCTGACTCCATGAATCTGCAGCTGGGGGTCTCTGCAGGCTCTGAGGTTCAGAGGACAGATCCCACCTCAGATTCAGCCTCAGGTAATTATCTGCTCTTCCTGTGGGGAGGAGAGGAACAGTGTAGAAGGAGGGTCAGCTGTACTCTATTTAGGAGCTCTGTACATGGAGGAAAACAATGAAAGTAGGGATCACACATCCTGAACACACATCACAATTTCACATGAGAAAGGCAATTCTGTGCCAGGACATTCTGCAGAATCAAGGAATAAAGCAACTGGGGCAAATGTAGGAATCACCATTGTTTACAGACTGCATGTTTGTTTCTATGTCATCCACAGAAATGAAGTAAAAGTGTATGTTCTGTATAGAACCCACAGTCTCTGGGCCCTGAGTCAGCACTTCCCTCCCTCCACCTGCAGGGAGCACAATGCACCTGACCCAGGCACCCAGGGCTGCTCTCTATCTTCCATGCCATGGCTGGTGCTGGAGCCACGTCCTGTGCTCCACTCTTAGGAGATGAACAAGCTCTGCGCTGATCTGAGCAGAGCCACTGCTGGGAGTCACTGGGTCCCCGATGGGAAACTGTGACACGACTCTGATTCAGTGACCTTGCTGGACCTTCATAGAACAACACAGAAGTTTAGGAAAGTTCCACCCAGTCCTCCTCCCTTTCTCCTTCACTCAGGGACCGACTTCCCTCACATGCATTCAGCTACCCCAGACCCCTTCCACCACCTCTGCATTTCCTCTCAGAAGAGTGGACAGGGAAACTGTACACGAAGGAAACTGTACACGAAGCTAATCCAGTCACAGAGTTTGCTTCTCCGAAGACCAACACTAACACACATATTTTGGCAAAGCTGTTTATAATACCAGCCAGATTCTATTGATAAATATAAAATATGAACCAACCTTGGAAATCACGTTTTATGTGTCTCCTTGGCTAGACCATAGTCTCAATTATTAAATCAGACACTATTCTAGGTGTTGCTCTGATGGTTTCATACAAGTGTTATTCAAGCTTGCTATCAAGTTTCTCGAGCTAGGAAGATAGTGCTAGTTAACCTTGGTGTGTCTGATTTAATTCTAGCAGAACAAAAGACAACAAAATTTCCTGGTGGATGGCAGGTGCGCCTCTTTCCAAAAATTCCAGCCTGCCCTTCCTGATGGCCAGCCCTAGACATGCCTAGACAGAAGACACAATTGCTGTCATCAAGAAATCCCACACACTGGAGTGTCCACAATCAGCTCCCCCAAAATCACAGGTGAGGAAGGTGACACAGGCAGTTTCAGCAGATCCAGATCACAGATCTAGACAGGGTTCCTGAGGAAACTGTTAGATGGAGAAATTGTGAAGACTCTGAAAGGAAACCAGCTCTTAACCTTCCTGAGCAACTTGTCCCAGAGTTAACCCTATGCTCAGTGTGTCTTGAGCGGCCTCTGCAGCCCAGGCCCCTCCTGTCTTCCTGCAGGGAGGTTTTTGTCTGGGCTCTCACTGACTTCTCCTCACTGTGTATCTTTTGCACAGTAATACAAGGCGGTGTCCTCAGCTCTCAGACTGTTCATTTGCAGATACAGGGAGTTTTTGCTGTTGTCTCTGGAGATGGTGAATCGACCCTTCACAGAGTCTGCATAGTAGGTGCTACCACCATCCCAACTAATAAGAGAGACCCACTCCAGACCCTTCCCCGGAGCTTGACGGACCCAGTGCATGGCATAATCATCAAAGGTGAATCCAGAGGCTGCACAGGAGAGTCTCAGGGACCCCCCAGGCTGTACCACGACTCCCCCAGACTCCACCAGCTGCACTTCACACTGGACACCTGCAAACACAGAGACACCCTGGTCAGACACTGCCACACATATCCACTGTTTCTCTCACTCATGTTCACTCACACTCAACATCTCTATTTATCCATGAATCACCTTTTAAAATAGCAACAAGGAAAACCCAGCTCAGTCCAAACTCCATGGTGAGTTCTGTGTTCAGTGCTGATCACCGAATGGAAACACCTGGGAATCTCAGGGCTGGGGCTCCTTTCCCAGAGCTGCAGGGTCAGGGCTGGGCTGGTTTTCATCAGCAGAGGGAGGACCCTATTTGCATGTCTCCTACTATATAATGAGTTCTGTAACGGATGCCTCAGAGTGGGCTGTGTCCAAGAGTGGATGTGGGTGATTATACTTCATAAGTAATTAATTCTCATTAGCATTCATACTTTTACATGCACATGAAATATGTTCTTTGAGAGTCAATGTTTCCTTCATTTACAGATGTGAATGTAAACCCCCAAGTATGGAGGGACCATGTGACATAGACAAGAGCTCACATCTCATAAGAGCCAGTCTCAGTGTCCGGCCTGCGTTTCTCACAATTGGATCCAACTGTTCCCAAAATTAACTCTAGGAAAGAGCTAGAAATTCCCAGTGAGGTTTACAAAACACTCTTCTTATAATGATATCGTGATATTATTTGGCTGTATCTTGGTGTTTTTGTAAGTAATAGAGAAAAACTAAGGGTTAATTCATTCAGGAGTTCATGACTTTTCTTGTATTATTTTTATTTCTCTCTTCATCTTTTTCTACCACATTAGACTTTTATTTATAATAACTTTAATGAGGTAATACTGACATATAATCTTCACACAATATGTTCACCATTTGACAAACATTGACCTAATGACCATACACAGAGAAAACAAATGAATTCGCCTCTCAATTTTCTCTTTGTCTCTCGCAATTTCTCCTCCTATACCTTCGCTTCTCTTACTATGGAGAAGTCAGTTAGTGATCTTTGTTATGTAATTTCCAATGAGTATTCACTTTGTACAGTTTATAAAACGGAATCATATGTATGTGCTTTGGCTCACTATACTCATCATATGTACTTGTGAATTGAACCATGCTGTTGATCGTATCCAACATTTACTGATTGTAGTAGTGGGTACTATCCCAATAAATGACTTTTCCACAATTTGTTTACTTATGAAGGTGCTGATTAATATTTGGATTGTTTTCAGTTTCTGTGTATTTCAAATAAAGCTGCTGCTCAGCTTAGAGGAGTACACAGCTGAGAAACATGTTCCTGATCTTACAACAACATGAACAACAGCTAAACTGGTCAAGTTGCAAATGAATCAATATTCTTTAATACATCAGGTAATTAATGTTATGGCACCCCGTGTGTTTGTCAGTGTGTGAGTGAGAAAGAAAGAAAGAGGAAGGAAAGGAGACTGAAAAAGAAAGTGATTCTACATAATTATTAATTTGTGAGGTCCTCAAATACAAGGACTTATTCCTAATGAACAGGGTCCACATAGGTTGAAGAGGTTAACTTGATGCACCCACAGATGGCTATAGATTCATAACATAAATAATATTCTCTAAACACATGAACACCCATACATTAGATTAGAATTAGATGTGCTGGAGGGTGTTTAGTGGTGGAAATGAGAAGGTGACACTAAACTCCGTCTTCAGAGCCTTTCCCCGCCTGCTAGATGTGCTGGAGGGTGTTTAGTGGTGGAAATGAGAAGGTGACACTAAACTCCGTCTTCAGAGCCTTTCCCCGCCTGCTACACCTGCTCTGAGGCTGAACCTTGAGCCTGCCTGACCACTGAGCCCCACAACGGTCCTGAGCCTTCAGGCGGTGCCAAATGCCCCCTGGGTTTCCCTGCTGGTTCCTGGGTGCTGGCTTCTGTCCTCAGCACCCACTGCTGTTCTGTAAACTCCCACAGGAAGGTTTGTGTGTGGGCTCATACTGAAGTCTCTTCACTGTGTCTTTTGCTTAAAAATACTTGTTTGTGGCTGGGTACAGTGGCTTATACTTGTAATCCCAGCACTTTTGGAGGCCGAGTCGGGTGGATCAGAAGGTCAGGAGTTCAAGACCAGCCTGGCCAACATAGTGAAACCTTGTCTCTACTAAAAATACAAAAATTAGCCAGGTGTGGTGGTGAGTGCCTGCAGTCCAAGCTACTTGGAGGCTGAGGCTGGAGAATCACTTGAACCCAGGAGGTGGAGCTCGTAGTGAGCCAAGATTGATTGCCCCACTGCACTCCAGCCTGGGTGACACAAGACTCTATCAAAAACACACACACACACACCAAAACAAAACAAAAAAACAAACATGGTTGTGTGCTTGTTGCTAATGTCACTCAGCCATACGAAGAGCTGTTTTTGGACATAGATCTGGAGGTGGTGACTGGACTCTTGAGGAGTGGGTTAGAATTTGTGCTCCCTTCATGACCTGTGCACCTGACCCACTCCAGTCCCTTCCCTGGGGGCTGATGGATCCAGCTCCAGCAGGAAGCACTGGTTCTGTTGGGGAATCCAGAATTTAAACCTAAATGTTATTGTTGTTGAGTCACTAAACAAAATGTGGTGCTCATTTCTATTGTGTTGAGATACACATGACATAAAATTTACAATTTTAGCCACGATTAAGTGTACGGGTCAGTGATACTTTACACATTTGCAATGTTGTGCAAATATCACCAGTATTTGGTTTGGGAACATTTTCATCACAGAAAAGAAAACCTCAGCTCCATTAAGCGTCACTCTCCATTTCCCCTCCACTCACCCCCTGTGATCTGTCTCTAGGGATTTTCCTCCTCTGCATACTTCATGTCAATAGGACAATTCAGGATGTAGACTTCCGTGTCTCCCTCAGTTCACTCACCCAATGTTTACAAGGCCCATCCGAGTTGCAGCCTATGTCAGTGCTTCACTCCTTTTTAAAGCACCACAGCGTCTTCATCCCTGTGGGTTACAGATGCACAGACGCACCGCGGCGTCTTCATCCCTCTGGCAGTCGATGGACACTTGAGTTGTATTCTCCATCTACTTCTGTGAGTGGTGACACTAGCTACATTTATGAGGTTTTCTGTGAAGACCATTTTCCAAAGTTGCTGTCCCATTTCAATACCAACATGCAAGCCATGACCATTCCAAATTCAGTATGTCTATACCTACAAGTGGTTATGTTTTTCTATTCATTTTTCTTTTTTGAATGCTGATTATCTTAGTGTATGTAAGGTGGTAATTCATAGGGAACTTAATCACCAGCATAAACCAAATAACCGCATTAAAAATGGAGAAAGGACATGCACAGAAACTTCTCAAATACAAACATAGAAGTGGCCAACTAACCTATAAAAATGCTCAGCATATTCAGTCATCAGATAAGTGCGAATCAAAACCAAATGATATACTTTCTCACATATGTCAGAACTGCTATCACTGAAAGATCAGAAATTAACAGATGCAGGCAAGGCTATAGAGATAAGGGACCACTTACACACTTTTGGTGAAAATATAATTTGGCCCAAGCACTGTTGAAATCAATCTGGAGATTTCTCAAAGAATTTAAAACAGAGCTACCATTCCCCTCAGCAATCTCATTACTGGGTATATGTCCAAGAGAAAACCAATCATTGGAACAAAAAGACACATCAACTCACGTGTGTATCACTGTGCTATTCACAGTACCAAAGACATATAATAAAACTAAATGCCGATCAGTTATAGACTGAAAAAAGAAAACGTGGTACTTATACACAGTGGAATACCATGCAGCTGTAAAAATGAATGAAATCATGTTTTTGCAGCAACTTGGATTCAGCTGGAGGCCAAAATTCTAAGCAAACTGACAGAGACAGATGATAAGAGTCAATGGGAGATGAAACGGACAATTTGGGTGTTTCTTTGTGTAAAAATGAGAAAAGAAATCCCCTGGTTGCATGAACTCTAGAAATAGACAAGCCTGGAGATGCTGATGCCCTGACTTCCATTACATTAGGTTGTGCTTTTTCTCATTTTTAGTCAGTTAACCTTGCTTTCCTTCACTCTTGGCTAAAATAGCCACACATAATAATCTAGAGACATTAAAATAAAAATAACATATTTGAACATTAGAACAAGTGTTAACTTTTAGGTCAAAGTTAGCGTGAATTCAGTGTGACAGACAGGAGACATGGCTGAATACTAGCAGTGTGCTCACAGTAATACTATCTAAATTAGGAAAGTTTATTCACATCTTTTAGATTAGATTCCGATTGAAATCCTTGATCTAGTAACATCTCTGATGAATCATACATCAGTAACAAAACTGGAGGTTATGCACTCAATTGAGTAGTGCATTCAGAATCTGTTCCTCTACCTGATGTCAAGTCAGCCAGCATGACAGAAGTTATTGTAGTCAACAGAGCCCATCAATAAGCCAAAGACAAGGATTAAGTACATGTTTTACAGGAGTGCCTGACTTTGGGATGCTCTTCACGCAAAGAAGTTTCTCACATCTTCTGGAGCACGTAAAAATTCTCAACAGAAGAATAAATTTCAGATGCACGCCTATATTTTAGGGACCTGACTCATGTAACTCAGAAAGTAAAGTCCTAAAGGAAAATGAAATCGCGTAACAACTAAAAGTATACATATTGTACTGGGTCATTATACCAAACAGTCTTGTTTATAATATTATCTAAACACAGAAGGCATTAGCATTACTTATATAACTCAGCATCATTCCCAAACACAATCTTCTGAAAATGTTGAAGAAAATTGTCATACTTGAACTAAACTTGTCAAAACCTTAAGAAAATCTTGAACTTCCTTGGCCAAAGTTTCTCTCCCTAGCACTAGAGCATTATAGTCAAGTCCCTCAGTGAGACATCAGTTATCACCTTATGATTTGGTGGCTGGAAGGCGCATACATTTAGAGATTTACCCCCGGTGCTCACCTCTTCCTATTACATGCACGCATGACAAAGTATTGAAAGTGATGACTGTAACTTACCCACTCCAGTCATCGACAGATTAAGCTATCATTTTCCTACATCTTTTCAATAGCCTCTAATGACATTAAAACAGGGAATGGTATTTACTGGAAGAAACATCACGGTAGAATATTGCTCTTGAACTGCTTTGAAGGGAATCTTACCAGGTAATTTTAACCACAACACAGCAGTGAATATGCACAATGTCAATACTAGGGTTCATATTTATGAACTGTAAACCAAAAATAAAATCCTAAGTGCCCCAACTGACTAAATAGTCCATCTGTTCATCTAAGGGACTCCAGAAAAGCCTAAAAACTGAGATCCCAGCCATGACAAGATCAGACGTGCCTCTTACACTCACTCCCCTTTGCGGTTTAGACACGACAATGACCAACACTAATGTTAAAATAGAGATCAAAAGAATGACAGAACAGAATCTCTGTGGCAATAAGATGTCAAATTATAAACAAGACCTAAAGCCATGTCAGGCAAGGGTTCTGCCACTCACTCCCACACTTAAAAGGTAAACTGTCTTCTAACTGCCAATAGGTTATTCGTTTTCTCTAGTGGCTCAGTAAGCACCGGCACTGAGACAAGCACTATGAAGACAATTGCAGCCCATCCCCTGATGAACTGACCCCTGTTCCACAAGCCATAACCCCAGCTTTGATTGAACACTAGAGTGATATCAGGACCTTTCTCCTGATCAGAGACCACTCACCATGGCCTGGCTCTGGCCGTTTACAGAGGCTGCACCCTGAGTGCCTTTGTGTTTCTGCTTCTGCTATTGGCACATAGAGCCTGACTGTAATGAATTTAAATGCTAAGTCTCCACTGGTAAGTGAACAGGGGTCATACGTTACAGGAATGTTTATTCAGTATGCATGTGTGAGGACCACCTCCATGAACATCAGTAGCCCCTCCTGTAACCTGTTGATTATGTCTGTTTAGCCAAACCCTTCAGCATAAAGCTTCTGCCCAACCCCTTCTTCCTGGGAGTGCCTTTCTCTCGTCTTTACCAAAAGCTATGCTTTCCAGCATATGGGATGGCTGTAACCCTTGATAAAAATAAACTCTCACTTTCCTAAATTGTAGATTGTGTTATTTTTTTATTTAACACAACTGAAGATTAAATTCAGAAGTACATCTAATTATAAGGCTACTTTAGTGAAGAACGACAAACCGAGGATTTTCACATATACTGTAAGGGCCTGTGATATTTTGAAGCAGGAAGCTGACCTGAGACCTTCAGAATTAACTGATAACTGTGGATAATGAAAAGGCCCCACTCAGGACATTGATTCAGCACCCCTGCCTGTCTCATTCATTCTTCTCTTTCTTTTTATTATGTGCTTACAGTAATAAAATTTTTATTTTCTTTAGACCTGTTTGCTTTTCACACATAGTGGACTCTTCTCTCTCTTTTTCACTCATTTTCTTAAGCTGCTAGGGAGAATAAAGCGTCAGGTCCTATTTTTGGTGCCTCGTTGCTGACGAATTAAGGTTTATTCTTCCTCCTCCTTATCCCCTGCATGTGGTAAATCTAGTAAGAAATCACAGAAGCTCCCTTATCTGATGCCCCTGTGAGGTTTAAATCACACAATCTCCTTCTCCTGAGTAGAAACGCACCCCCAACCCCACCACCAAATCATTATAAAGCCCTGAGCCAGCCTCCTTTCCTGTCTACTGAGGAAATTCCAGTTTGAAATTTCTTGAGAGGCCTGTGCTGCTCTCAGCAGACACCTCAAAAATAGAGTTAATAAATGTTTTCATATTCACCTGGAGTGTGAGTGTGGAACCATCAGACTCGAAATCCACACTAACCATTGGTGGGGTCTCTCTTCCTTTGCCCAGTATCACCTACAATTGGAACTGTGGGCTTGGAGTCCTGACAATGACCACCACGGGGGCTTTCTTCTCTTGCACTGGATGCTAACTCCCTCTGCCCCAATGCCCAGCATGCACTTTATCCTGCCTGCTTGCTCACTGGCCCTTGGAGTTCTGTTGAGCTGGGCTGCCATGCTGAGTTAAACACCGCACCTTTTATAGATTTAGCTGATTAACTTCAGAAGCATTGACACCTTATTGACATTCAGAAACAGGAGTAAATGACTGTAGGTGACTCTGCCTTTGGTGCATATGAGAAAGTTTTTCTCTTGTTACGACAAATGTTTCTTCTTCAGACTTCACAGGAAAAAAAGGATAAGGAATCCAGAGATGTGCCACAAAGGAAACTGTTTTATGGAGAGGAAGCCACAGGGCTGACAGGAAACCAGACCTTAACACCCCTCTGCACCTGCCCTGGGGCTGGCTCTTGTGCTCAGTGGGTCCTGAGCGCCCCCAGGTGGTCCAGTGCCCACTTCAGGGAGGCTTGTTTCTAGGCTCACACTGACTTTTTTTCTAATTGTTTTCACAAAAATGGAGACAGAGTAAACGGTGAATCCATGCATCTCAGAGAACACAGAACAATAGCATAACACCCCTCGACACACACACACACATTTAGGTGAATCTTATTAAAACTGCTGAAAACCAAAGACAAATAGAAATACATGCAGACAAGTGGAGATGAGTTGAGGGGGCATTCCTTCTAAAAGAACAGGAAAGATGATGACAGCATTCTTCTGGTTAAAACCTTATAAGCAAGAGGAAAATTGATGGTGTCTGTAAAGTGTTGGAAGAAAAGCCAACCCATTATTTTGTAACCCATGGATGTTCGCTAAAAAGTGAAAAAAAAAAAAAAAAAGACTCTACCAGCTGCACCTCATACTGCACACCTGCAAACACAGAGAAATCCTGGTCAGCAACTGCCACACATATCCACTGTTTCTCTAATATCCACTCACAAACAATATCTGTAGTTCTTCATGAATCACCTCTTAAAATAGTAACAAGGAAAGCCCAGCTCAGCCCAAACAACATGGTGAGTCCTCTGTGTTAAGTTCTGATCACCAAGTGAAAACACCTGGGAATCCTGGCACTTGAGCTCCTCTCCCAGAGCTGCAGGGTCAAGGCTGGGCTGGTTTTCATCAGCAGAGGGAGGGAACTATTTGCATGTCTCCTACTATATAGAAGTCTCTTGGGCAGGATGTCTGAGGACAGGGCAAGGCACAGAGCAGATGAAGTTTTCTAGTGGGTGGTGGGGCTTGAAGACAATGATAATATTTGGAAAAAATGTAATTTCTTAGTAAAAGATTGTGCTGTGGTAAACATTTAGCATACATTATCTTAACACACGAAAATACATTGTTAGAGGCAGATGCCCATTGGTCCTCCATTTACAGATGTGAATGTAAACCCAGAAGCATGAGGGAGCTATGAGATGTGTCCAGGAGCTCACATGTGACAAGAATGGTCTCCAGGATCGGGACCTGTGCTCCTCTCCACCGGATCCCACAGCTCCCTTAGCCAACTTTATCCCAGAGTTACGCATACCTGGTGTGGTTTGAAGAAACCCTTCTTGTAATAAAAACATTAAAAAAAACTGCTGCATTTTAGAATTACCAAAAAATAGAGATAGAGCTAAGGGTTATTCATTGTACATTCAGAAATATCTGACTTTTTATGTGATTTATCCATCTCCCTTACACCGTCCCTAAGAAATTTATACAGGTATTTATTTGTAATAGCTTGAATAATATAAAATTCTAATTAACACACAAAATGTACAATTTGGAAATTATTGATGTAACCATCACCATTATTAAGATAGAAAACAAATCAATTACCCTCAACATTTTCTCTTATTCTCTTGCAACGCCTTCCTCCCTCTTTTCTCTCACCTTTTCTCCATTCAACTCCCGACCTTCATGTCACTTCAGTTTCTATTCTGTAGAATGTATAAAAGTGTCATCATACAGGATGTAGTTTTTTTTTTTGGCTTATTTTACTTATATGTACTTGTGAATTTAGTGCGTTTATGCGTGTATCAAACGTTCATTAATTGTAATGAACAACAGTATTCCAATGATTGATTTTTTTTTTTGTTTTTTTGAGACGAAGTCTCGCTCTGTCGCCCAGGCTGAGTGCAGTGGCGCAATCTCGGCGATTCTCCTGCCTCAGCCTCCTGAGTAGCTGGGATTACAGGCGCGCACAACCACGCCCGGCTAATTTTTGTATTTTTAGTAGAGACGGAGTTTCACTATGTTGGTCAGGCTGTTCTCAAACTCCTGACCTCATCATCCACCCGCCTCGGCCTCTCAAAGTGCTGGGATTCCAGGCGTGAGCCACCGTGCCCGGCTGAATTTGTTAAATTCGGTGTTTAATCTGACATCCTTCTGGATTTGCTCACATTGGAACGTAAAAGAAAATAATTTCCAAGACTTACGTGTAGCCAAAACAAAACCAAAAATTTCCCGTCTCTAAGCTACACCTACCACTGGATTTTTAACTGACGAAAGATGAGCCTGAGAGAAATCACAAAAGCAGCCAATTCAAGGAAAAGCCATTTATCGTTCTCAGCTGAACTTAAGACCACAGTTACCACGAAGGCAGCTTCTCCACCTCCGGAGCTCAAGCGATCCGCCCGCCTCGGCCTCCCAAAGTGCTGGGATTCCAGGCCTGAGCCCGGCGCCCGGTCAGCGAAGGCAACGTCTAAAAAAACTTCTCACCTCCTGTCACCATTTCAGTGACAAATTCCCGAGTTTTCAGAGGACATGCCGAATCCAGCACAAAACACTGACTCTGAGGAGCTCCCGACGCCGCTGGCGCCTCAGCTGGCAGCAGCTGCTCCAAGTTCGAACCCGCGGGCGGTGGCGGAAGGGCCTTCTCGCGGGCGTCGGGCAGCAGCTGCAGCCCTGGGCTCGGCCGCGGCGGCTCCGCGTCCTTCCCGGAGGCGCCGGCGCGAGGTCCTCACACCCAGGCGGCTCAGTGGAGGCGCAGCAGCCCAAGGAGCGCGGCCCCCAGCGCCCGCGCCCATCCTGGAGAACTGCATCTGCGCAGGCCCAGAGCGTCCTCCTGGAGCAGGCGAGCCAGGATGGCGCCTCCTCGCTCCCAGCAGGCGCCCCCACGCGGCCCGTGCGGAGCCCAGCGACCAGAGCCGCGCGAGCCTGTGGGGAGCCTGTGGGGAGCCTGTGGAGGCCTGGGCTCCACCGCCTTCCCCACAGCCAGCAGCAGCTTGTGCCGCCCGCCTTCCCCTGGCCAGGTCTTCCTGCAGCTGGCGCCGGAGGCTGCGGAGGGAGGGCCCAAGGGTTCTTTTCAGAAGACTGGCTTTTTATGAATTTTAACACAATATGTACAAGCTGCGTTCGTTTAATAACGCTACTTCCGTCATACACTGGCAACTTAACACCTGAAAAGATTAGATGTTATAAATAGGACTTGTTCATCCTTTATACACAGGATATCCATAGATAAATAAAACAAACACACAGACAGAAGAGATGATCATTAATCTCTCCTCCCGGTGCGCACAGAGGCCTGGAAGTCTGCACTTTCTCCTCCTCTCTCCTCCCCTGAACCAGAGCACAAACGCAATGTGTGTTGATCAAGCAGGGATTTGGCCATCCTCCCCACCCCCCACCAACATCAAAATAAAATAAAACCCTGCATATGAATTTTAACAAAAAGATATTTACAAAATTTATTATTTTACCACCTGTAATTTTAACATACATCAGGCACTTCAGAACATCTAGAAAGACTAGATATTTCAAAAGAATACTTAGAATTTCCAATGATGTATACAATAGCGAGGAATAAAACGCACACAAGAAAACAATGACAATGATATGAAAATGTCTTCTAAATATGAGCAGCCTGGCATGGAACCCTCTTCCCTTCCTGCCCAGGTCTCCCCTCCATGTCCTCTCACCCACTGAACGAACGTGGACGTGTGGTTACTGTGTCCCTTCCAGGGGTGGTCTAATAACACCATTTCAAAATGTCATTTCCAGAAGACACCCCTTTGCTATGATTTTTTTAAAAAGCACATGGTAACTTACGGCCAGGCACGGTGGCTCACACCTGTAATCCCAGCACTTTGAGAGGCCAAGGTGGGTGGCTCACCTGAGGTCAGGAGTTCAAGACCAGCCTGGCCAACGTGGCAAAACCCCATCTCTACTAAAAACTACAAAAATTAGCCAGGCGTGGTGGTGCACACTTGTAATCCAAGCTACTCGGGAGGCTGAGGCAGCACAATTGTTGAAACTCAGGAAGCAGAGGTTGCAGTGAGCCAAGATCCTGCCACTGCACTCCAGCCTGGGCGACAGAGTGAGACTCCGTCTCAAAAACAAAAAACAAAAAAACGAAAAAAAACGGAAAACAAAAGACAAGCACATGGTAACTTACAAGACATGTAATTTTCTGACTCTGTCATACATTTGGGAACCTCCTTATATCTAGGCGGATTAGATGCAGCAAATGTTTTCTTTTAAAAGGTCAGGGAAAGGTCGAGCAGAGCTTTTTCATGTGTTACGCACAGGCCTTCTAGAAAGGGCTGGTAAAGTGTGGTGGGCATGTCCAGTGGGACAAACTTGGAAGGTTCTTCTCTGTTTCTCCCCATCCATGTCAAGGTCTTGTAGAAGAACGATCACCATCCGGTGGCCGCTACCCGTTCCCCACATCGTCTTCCAGGACTCTACTAACATTTCTTGCCCTAAGGCCTTTGAACCTTGCCAGGACTGGCAGGGTCCCTTCCAACATGGACAGGAGTCATCCCAGGATTCGGAGCTTCGGGGCTGCATGGCCTGAAGAGAAGGCGGATCTAAGTCCTAGACCCCGCTTCCTGGCGACCCCACGCGTCCCCGGAACTCCCACGTCCCAGCTGCCCCCTCGCATCCCTGGACCGCCCACAACCCGCCAGCCCCCGCGCGTCCCGGACCACCTGCATCTCAGCTGCCCCCGCGCCTCTCCAGACCGCCCACGTCCCAGCTGCCCCCTGGCATCTCCGATCGCCGACGTCCCGCCATCCCCCGCGCGTCCCCGGACCGCCCACGTCCCATCAGCCCCGCGTCTCCCGGACCGCCCACTTCCCGACAGCCCCCGCGCATCTCTGTGGCAGCTGCCCTGGTGCTTCCCGCCCCGCCGCGCCCGCCCACCCAACGGCGCTGTGTCCCGCCGGTAGCTCAGCGGGGACTTCCTTTATGTGGTACAGGGTTGGGCCTGGAGACCCGGATGCCGGCGAGGTCCTGGCTGGGAGAGGCCGCCGCTGCCTTCAGGTTTCCGAGGTGGGTAGAGAGGTTCCCGCTGCTTTGAGGTCAAGGCTCCTCGGTGGCGGCCACAGCAAAGGCTCCAGTGTCCGCCGCAGGGCAGAGGCCGGGCCTGTCTGGGGACCCCCGACTCATCTGAGGCTCAGGGCGGAGGGTTCAGTGAACTGACCTTGCCCCGCTTCTCACCACGCGCCCAGTGTCACTGTATTCAGCCACCACTGCACAAAGGCGTTACAGCTCTGTGCCCTGAGAAGCCCCTCATTCCCTCAGTGACTCCACAGGGAACACCGGGTGGGCCCCTGGATTCACAGCCCTGTAGCACGCTGCCCAAGGGGCCCCCTTGCTCTCCCACCACCCAGAACACCGAGCCCGTTGTCGAGGCTGAACCATCCGCGGGCAGCTGGGACCAGGGAACATGGTGAGGGGCTCACGGCACCTGGCGTGCAGATCCCAGTAGCTGGATGCGGTTCTGCTAATCACTAACAGGCTTGCAGGCTTCCCCAGGAATCCACCCATAAACTTCACAGAACACCGTGTCTGTGAACCACCCAGTATGTGCATTCAGTTTCTAACCTCACTCTGGTCCGGAATCTGCCACCTGCAGGATCCAATTAACAAGAGAGAGATCTGGTACAAAGATTATTGTATTAACCATAATGGTAAAGGGGAAGTGACCGCATTCCCATCCCAAGCAACCACTTGAATTTTGAAGGAAAGGCAGGGGTTTAAAAAAGGAAAAGTTGGTAAGAAAGGCATGCAAGATTTGGGCTGAGAACCAGGTCTGTGCGTCTTGTTCTGGCAGCTCTCTGGCATCCCAGTCCACCTAGATCTTGGGCTGGCATCATCTGGGCAATGCCTGGGTTGTTAACTAGCAACATTGAAGTCACCTCTGGAATTCTGCATCAGGGTCTCCCGACTTTGTCTATCTGTCTCAAATTAGCTTCCGGAACTTCCAAAAAGGCACATAGTTCGATGCAAACATAAAGTTAGATTAATGTGAAGGGAATATTTATGGTGAAAGGGAGAAAGGTGGAGTCTATTTCAAGGCGTAAGAAAATTGATTCTGCTGTTTGCCTCAAGATTATATCTTTACACCCAAGAGAGACAGAAAAGTTTAACCTCTCTTCTGCCACCATGTATGACTGCCTTGCTTCCCCTTTTTCTTCTGCCATGATTATAAGTTTCCTGAGGCGTCCCAAGCCATGCAGAACTGTTTGGTGTGGAGATTACTGAAGAAGGGTTTTACTTACTACTTGACAGAATTCCCCTTGGTGAAGAGGAAATGTCAGCGATCTTTAATTCATGACGATGTTGGATTATTGGCAGTTGGCTCACTAAGGATCCCATGTCCAAGAGCAGGATTCTCCTTCCAAAGTGTGTGTGTGGACTTGAGGAGCAGCCTTTGAAAGATGGGGCCCCTAGAATTTATAGAACTTCCTTTGATTCCTTGGAGGTTTGCAGTCTCCAGGTTGTCTGTCATCCAGGACTTTGACTGTTTGTGTGAAAGAGTGCTTCCTTTTGGGTGAAGAATTCTGTATGAATATCCTAGGGCTGCCAAAATGAAATACTACAAACTGGGTGGCTTAAAAATGACAGGACTGTATTCTCTCACAGTTCTAGAGACTAGAAGTCCAAAATCAAGTGTGAGCTGGGCTGCACTCCCTCTGAGACTCAGGAGACTTCTTCCTTGCCCTTTCCTCACTTGTGGAGGTGACTGGTAATCCCGGACATGCATTGGTTTACTGCTGCACCACTCTGATCTTTGCCTCTGCTGTCATATGGCACACTGTATGTCTCTGTCTCTGTGTCCAAATTTCCTTGTACTTAGAAAGACACCCATCTTCCCACATTGAGGGCCTGCCCTGCTCAAGTAAGACCTCATCTTCACTAATAACATCTCCAGCTACCATATTTCCAAATAAGGATGTGTTCTGAAGTGCTGGTTGTCAGGACTTTGACATATCATTTGGGTACACAGTTTAATACATGACGAACCCCGTTACAGAGCTACCATGTCTAGTGTCTTACACATTTTGTTTGGAGGGGGAGGGTAAAAATAACAATGGACTCCTGTGTGTTGTCTGACGATAGCAATACGAATAGCTACCATGTAATGCCTATTAGTTGTTAGGTACTAAATATTAACTAATTTCATTCTTACAACAACCCTACTTTACATATGAGAAAACTGGGGTACAGGAAGTAACTGGCCCATTGTCCTCCAGTTAGCAGTGGCAGAGACGGTATACAAAGCCAGACTTCCCAGCAGCAGAGGCCGCATACTTAATACCACCCTGCCTTCTGGACAGTCAGGACAAGCAATTATGCCTGTGGTAAACATACTGTGCTGACAAGTAAGGTTACACTTGAAATGTGGCTTACAATGCAAGGTATAGAGATTACAGGCAATTCATGTGTTCTGGTTATTTGTTGCTATTAAGTCTGAATTAAAATGTAAGTGTGACATTTCAGGTTTCAGGGAGTATAAAAAATAATATTAAAACCTCAAATACTAAGTTTAAAATGCATTTTGAAATTAAGCTGCCTGTATATCATTCCCCACTGTCAAATTCCATTTCGTTTCTATGGAAAACATGTGTCATAGTCATTCTGGCTACTTCTTTAGAAAGGGCATAGGTTGTATGTATTGGAAGGGAATCCATTAAACTGGAGTTGGAAATATTCTGGAGTCTCCGGAATTACAGTAGGTGTTCGTTGGAGCATTATGGTGCAAGGACCTAGGAGTTTTTGAGAAGGTCAGTATTACATTCTCACTTAAAGTGCAAGATAGCAATAAAATCCATAGCAACTGAAGATAGCAATGAACAGAATACCAGCTCTACTATATATGAAAGTCTTCCATGTGTTAGGAAGTCAACTAAACCATGCTGTCGCAGGGTCCTGAGAGAGGGCATCCATCTCTAGCAGAAATATGGGTATCTAATGCTTGCATAGCTTGAGTTATATTGTGGGACTAATCTTGTATATATATGCAACATTCAGTGTTCATTAATACACAAGTGTTACCTTTGGCTGTAGTTGCAATACCTAGGGTCATATAGCTTCATAGTGTCACTTGTCAAATCTGTGAGGTTTCTTCAGTAAGAATGATGATGGCATGGTAGGTGTTGTTAAAGGGACTGGTGGTTTGCTTAGCCAGGGCCTCTACTTGCAATTCTAAATCTATGACTGCCACCTGGGGGGAAGAGCTGGCTAGTGGGCAGAACAACTAGGATGTCCGTTTATGAGAACAGTGTCTGTCTTTCACACTTTTCCAGTTGACATAAAGAGAAGGCACTTTGGACAGTTACATCCTGGGATATAAGGTCATATCCAGTTGCTTCGTTTCGTCCAGTTGTAAGGAAAGTAGGGCCAGCCATGAGTGCCACAGGCCTTTAGTTAATCCCAGAAGGAAGAACAGGTTCCACTCTGCAGGCTGGCATTGCCTTGTCATCCAAGCCACATATTAAGGGCTCAGTTACATTGCTGAGGAGGCAACAATTCCATATCATGAGTGACAGTGTAGAGTATGCTGTGGTGTTTCTTCACACATAGCAGTGCTTGACCAATTACTTGGACTCGCACCACTGTCAGCCATCCTACCTCACTGGATATGGCATAGCCTATAGTGGGAGTGATATTAATGAAGTGTCTTCTGTTTTTATAATAGATGGAAAAGATGGCTTCTCCAATGGATGGAAAATCATAAGTTCTTAAGTTGGGAGCTTGTATTATGCCAGGGCAGGCCTATAGTGGAAGAAATGGGTGAACTCTTTACAGAACCAACTATGTTTTCTTTTGGAGGGAAGCCACCATCTTCCACCCATTCAGCAAAAAAGATTAGTTTTAATAAGGAGAAATAATGGACTTATAACTATAGAACTCATTAAGAATTTCATATTAGATCCCATTTGTCAATTTGGACTTTTGTTGCCCTTGATTTTGGTGTTTTAGTCATGAAGTCCTTGCCCATGCCTATGTCCTGAATGGTATTGCCTAGGTTTTCTCCTAGGGTTTTTATGGTTTTAGGTCTAATATGTAAGTCTTTAATCCATCTTGAATTAATTTTTGTATAAGGTGTAAGGAAGGGATCCAGTTTCACCTTTCTACATATGGCTAGCCAGTTTTCCCAGCACCATTTATTAAATAGGGAATCCTTTCCCCATTTCTTGTTTTTGTCAGGTTTGTCAAACATCATATGGTTGTAGATATGCGGCATTATTTCTGAGGGCTCTGTTCTGTTTCATTGGTCTATATCTCTGTTTTGGTACCAGTACCATGCTGTTTTTGTTACTGTAGCGTTGTTGTATAGTTTGAAATCAGGTAGCATGGTGCGTCCAGCTTTGTTCTTTTGGCTTAGGATTGACTTGGCAATACGGGCTCTTTTTGATTCCATATGAACTTTAAAGTAGGTTTTTCCAATTCTGTGAAGAAAGTCATTGGTAGCTTGATGGGGATGGCATTGAATCTATAAATTACCTTGGGCAGTATGGCCATTTTCACGATATTGATTCTTCCTACCCATGAGCATGGAATGTTCTTCCATTTGTTTGTATCCTCTTTTATTTCATTGAGCAGTGGTTTGTAGTTCTCCTTAAAGAGGTCCTTCACATCCCTTGTAAGTTGGATTCCTAGGTATTTTATTCTCTTTGAAGCACTTGTGAATGGGAGTTCACTCATGATTTGGCTGTTTGTCTGTGATTGGTGTATAAGAATGCTTGTGATTTTTGCACATTGATTTTGTATCCTGAGACTTTGCTGAAGTTGCCTATCAGCTTAAGGAGATTTTGGGCTGAGACAATGGGGTTTTCTAGATATAAAATCATGTCATCTGCAAACAGGGACAATATGACTTCCTCTTTTCCTAATTAAATACCCTTTATTTCCTTCTCCTGCCTGATTGCCCTGGCCAGAACTTCCAACACTATGTTGAATAGGAGTGGTGAGAGAGGGCATCCCTGTCTTGTGCCAGTTTTCAAAGGGAATGCTTCCAGGTTTTGTCTATTCAGTATGATATTGGCTGTGGGTTTGTCATAGATAGCGCTTATTATTTTGAGATACGTCCCATCAATACCTAATTTATTGAGAGTTTTTAGCATGAAGGTTGTTGAATTTTGTCAAAGGCCTTTTCTGCATCTATTGAGATAATCATATGGTTTTTGTCATTGGTTCTGTTTATATGCTGGATTATGTTGATTCATTTGAGTATGTTGAACCAAAGAGCTTCTGCACAGCAAAAGAAACTACCATCAGAGTGAACAGGCAACCTACAGAATGGGACAAAATTTTTGCAATCTACTCATCTGACAAAGGGCTAATGTCCAGAATCTACAATGAACTCAAACAAGTTTACAAGAAAAAAGCAAACAACCCCATCAAAAAGTGGGCAAAGTATATGAACAGACACTTCTCAAAAGAAGACATTTATGCAGCCAAAAGACACATGAAAAAATGCTCATCATCACTGGTCATCAGAGAAATGCAAATCAAAACCACAATGAGATACCATCTCACACCAGTTAGAATGGCGATCATTAAAAAGTCAGGAAACAGCAGGTGCTGGAGAGGATGTGGAGAAATAGGAACACTTTTACACTGTTGGTGGGACTGTAAACTAGTTCAACCATTGTGGAAGGCAGTGTGGCGATTCCTCAGGGATCTAGAACTAGAAATAGCTTTTGACCCAGCCATCCCATTACTGGGTATATACCCAAAGGATTATAAATCATGCTGCTATAAAGACACATGCACACGTATGTTTATTGTGGTACTATTCACAATAGCATAGACTTGGAACCAACCCAAATGTCCAACAATGATAGACTGGATGAAGAAAATGTGGCACATATACACCATGGAATACTATGCAGCCATGAAAAATGATGAGACCATGCCCTTTGTAGGGACATGGATGAAGCTGGAAACCATCATTCTCAGCAGTCTATCGCAAGGACAAAAAACCAAACACCGCATGTTCTCACTCATAGGTGGGAATTGAACAATGAGAACACATGGACACAGTAAGGGGAACATCACACACTGGGGCCTGTTGTGGGCTGTGGGGAGGGGAGAGGGATAGTATTAGGAGACATACCTAATGTTAAATGACGAGTTACTGGGTGCAGCACACCAACATGGCACATGTATACATATGTAACAAACCTGCACGTTGTGCACAGGTAGTCTAAAATTTAAAATATAAAAAAAGGATGATTTCCTATATTTCAAATTAAAGGCACAGACAATAAAAGCAGAATTGAACAAGCAGAACTACATCACAACAAAAAGATGCTGCAAAGTGTGGAAGAAATTCCAACCTACAGAATAAGAGAATATAATTACAAGCCGTGCATCTGAAAAAGTGTTAATATCCAAAATATACATGCAACTTCTACAACTCATTAGCAAAATCATAATTGGATGATTGTATAGTGGTCAGTTTTACACCTTAAAACATTTAAGAATATAGATCTCATGTTAAAGATTCTTCCCTCTGGGTAATGGTAAGTTTGATGGTACACTTGGTTAGGGTAGACTTTGTAGTTATTCAATCCAACATTAATATAGGTGATGTTACCGGGCACAGTAGCTCACGGCTTTAATCCCAGCACTTTGGGAGGCTGAGATCAGGAGTTTGAGACCAGCCAGACCAATATTGTGAAACCCAGTGTCTACTAAAAATACAAAAATTAGCTGGACTTGGTGGCCTGCCCCTGTAAGCCCAGCACTTTGGGAGGCTGAGGTGGGTGGATCATCTGAGGTCAGTAGTTTGAGACCAGCCTGACCAATGTGGTGAAACACCGTCTCTACCAAAAATACAAAAATTAGCCGGACATGGTGGTGTGTGCCTGTATTCCCAGATACTGGGAGGAGGCTGAGACAGGAGAAATGCTTGAACTCTGGAGACAGAGGTTGCAGTGAGCCAAGATCATGACATTGCACTCCACCCTGGGTGACACAGCGAGACTCCGTCTCTCTCTCTCTCCCTCTCTCACTATATATATAGTTATGAATTTACTTAACAGATGATATTAATACTGTCATCAGTTGACTCTAGGTTAGGTAGATTGTCATTGATAAAACGGGTGTGCCTGATTCCATCAGAGCAGAACTGGAGAAAATGAAATTCCACGATGATTCAGCAGCTTCGCCTCTCTCTGGGACCTCCAGTCTGCACTTATTGATGGCTGATCTTATGGACATTGGATATTCCTAGACATCTCCAAAAACTGTCATCCTCTATGTCTCACAGAAAAGTGGCATGTCCGTCTGTAGCTTGTCATGTCAACCTGAATAACAGACAGAAAGAGACTCTAAAGCATAATAATATTTTTTCTAGGATGTGCGTTTCAATTAAAATATGTATGGGTACATTCAGGTAGGAAAAGGAAGATAGAGAATTAAGGAGAACATGTGGACACAGGGTGGGAAACATCACACACCAGGGCCTGTAGGGGGGTTGGGGGAAGGGGGAGGGACAGCATTAGGAGAAATACCTAATGTAAATGATGAGTTAATGGGTGCAGCAAACCAACATGGCACATGTATACATATGTAACAAACCTGCACTTTGTGCACGTGTACCCTAGAACTTAAAGTATAATTTAAAAAATAATAAAAAAGAGAATTAAGGAAAAATGAGGAGGGTGACAGCAGCTATTTTGAGATAGCGGTGTAAGGTTGAACAGGCAGTTGCAGGGCAGATTTACTTGGAGAAATAAATCTTTTAAGGCTGTGGTGGCCTCTGTGTAAAAGGTTGTGGCTGTGCAGAGTCTATTTATGATAGTTCTTCTTATCAGGAATATGTGTGTTAGAACCCTCCTTCATGGCCTTCCCCAGCTTCATTCATTAGGGTTTTAACACAAGGGGATCCATTTTGTTGCCGATAAATTTCACAAGCTCTTTCTAACACTACTTCTGAAGAAGATGACTCTGACAGTGTGCATAGAACAGGGTTAATTCCACATCCACATCCCATTTTGATCAAATGAGTTTATCCCCTTCACTATTAATGGCCAGTTGCATTCCCAGATGTGTCTACACACAACACAGAGGAGGGTCCTGAGAATATGGGGAGAGAAGGAAATCCCATCAGCCCCTCCCATGTGACTGCAGTAGCCAAGCCTGAGCCTTGCCTGAGTTCTAAGAAAATGCCTTGAGCCCTGGAGTGTAGACCACAGAGACCATGTGTTTCTTTTTCAGGAAGAAAGAAAAGCAAATAAAAAAGGGAAAACAAACACTCCAAAGAAAGAACATGTATTGGGAGCAAAAGGAGCACCAGATCAGTGCTGATGCGGATTGGCTTTAGGGTCAGGAGAAGGGTCAGACTTGAACCCTGTGAGCTCCTACAGGACACTGACCCTGGCTCAGCCTCTCTATTGGCTGTGATCAGAATCCCTGCCGTTCTAGTCCAGGAGTCTCCCTGAGGTTTCTGTCCTGGGCCTGAATGGAGGAGACTCATCAGGCACCCATGAGCTTCCTCAGGACTGCGATCCTGGTGACAATGGTTGAGAACTTTTCATCTTTGTAAACATCAATGTGCATTTGGTGTATGAGAGGTTATGCCCTCATATTAAAATGATCTTTTGAAAATATGTAGAGATGACATTAGGAACCACAGAATTCTAAAATTAGAGAGGTTCATTAGAGAAACTGTTGGAAGAAGATGAAGTCCCACATCCTGACAGGAAACAGCCTCCATCTGCACCTGCCTCCGGGGCTGACTCTGATCAGTGGCTCCTGAGCGCCCCCTGCCGCTGATTTCCCCCCAGCGTTCCTGCAGGGAGGTTTGTGTCTGGGCACACAATGACCTCCCCTCACTGTGTCTTTCTTACAGTAATACACAGCCGTGTCCTCAGCTCTCAGGCTGTTCATTTGAAGATGCAGCGTGTTCTTGGAATTGTCTCTGGAGATGGTGAATCTGCCCTTCCTGGAGTCTGCGTAGTATGTGCTACCACCACTAATGGATGAGACCCACTCCAGACCCTTCCCTGGAGCCTGGCGGACCCAGCTCATCTCATTGCTACTGACGGTGAATCCAGAGGCTGCACAGGAGAGTCTCAGGGACCCCCCAGGCTGTACCAAGACTCCCCGAGACTCCACCAGCTGCACCTCACACTGGACACCTGCAAACACAGAGACACCAAGGTCAGAAACTGCCACACATACCCACTGTTTTGCTCACTCATGTCCACTCACACTCAACATCTGTAGTTCTCCATGAATCATCTTTTAAAATAGCAACAAGGAAAACCCAGCTCAGCACAAACTGCATGATGAGTTCTGTATGTTCAGTCCTGATCACTGAATGAAAACACCTGGGAATCCCAAGGCTGGGGCTCCACTCCCAGAGCTGCAGGGTCAGGGCTGGGCTGGTTTTCATCAGGAGAGGGAAGGCCCTATTTGCATGTCTCCTACTACATAGCAAGCTCAGGGGTGGGACGCCTGAGGAGAGGGCAGGGCCAAGAGCAGATGAGAGCGTCCTGGGGGATTTTGGTGACAATGATTGTATTTGGGAAAATGCTGCCTTATTTTGAAATTGTTCTGTGATAAACATTTAACAACTATCACATTTTTAATTATTTTTACCTATGTGTATAAATTATGTTATTTAAGAGTCAGTGGTTTCTTCATTTACAGATGTAAAAGTGAACCTACACGTGGAAGGGCTATGTATGTGTTCATGGGTTTATATCTGGCATGAGTGAGTCCCAGTATCTGGGCCTATGCTCCTCACAACTGGCCTCAATTGCTCTCTGAACCAACTCTAGGACAGAGCTAAATGGGCCTAGTGTGGTTTGCAGAATCCACTTCCTGTCATGAGAACCTGTGTAATTTTCCTGCATTTACCTAAAAATACAGAGACAACTAGGCGTCAGGCAGATAAATATTTGGTGTATATGATATTTAACATATTTATTTGTTCCTTCCTATCATCCCTTTTTTGTCTAAGTTTTTAGCTGTTTACTTGCAATAAATTTTATGAGTTTTAATTGACAGATAATAAAATTCACATATTTACCCTGTACAATAGTAAACTTTGAAAAAAATCTCTATTTTAAAGAAGGTGACAAGTCAACTCTCCTCAGCATTTCTCTTGGTCTATTATTTTTTTTGGTTTTTCTCCTTCCTTCTTCTACCATTTCCTTATAAAACTACTGATGTTTTCATATTTCTTTATACTAGCTTTTATTTTCTAGAATTTATAAGAATGAATAATATGATATGTACTGTTATCTATTTGGCTTATTTTTCTCAATAGAAATAGTGGAAATTAAACCTTTTATGTTGTATGTGTTTCTCATAAATACTGGGTAGCATTTCAGCAAACAAATGTAGCATAATTTGTTTTTCTATTAAGTTGCTAATTGGTATTTGAATTATTCATTACTCTGGGTCTTAATAATAAATATGCTACTCAGTTTGGTAATGTGCATAGATTATAAATTGTATATAAATTTTATAAATATATTTCTTTTTGCAACAAAAAACAAGAGAATGTGCTATTTGGCAAATTTTCTTTAATATTTCAGATAATGGAAGTTATGCGATAGAAAACAAACCTGTAAACCAAAGAGTATCTGAGACTAATCTCAATAGATTTAGGAAGTTCATTTTCCAAGATTAAGGACATGCCAGTGACACAGCCTCAGGAAGTCCTGACGACATGTGCCCAAGGTGGCAGAACACAGCTTGGTTTTATACAATTTAGGGAGACACAAGACATTAATTAATATATGTAAGATGTATACTGATTTAATTCAGAAAGGCAGGACAACTTGAACTGGGGAGAGAGCTTCCAGATCATAGGTAGGTATGAGACAAATGCATTCTTTTGAGTTTCTCATTAGCCTTTAACTAAATGTGCAATTAAAGGAATATTCACGTAGGCCTTAGTCTGGCTTAGCAAAGCAGTAGAGCAAAGGTAGCAATCAGATATGCATTTGACTTATGTGAGCAGAGAAATGACTCTGTCCTTGGTCCACAAGGGTTCTTCTTTGGGTCAAATTTTGAAGGAGGTGTGTAGCTTTTTAAAACCTTAGTAGCTATCATTTTAGGGAAAAAAATGGAGATGGGTTTGCCCCAAACAGTTTTCAGCTTGACTTTTCCCTTTGGCTTAGTGATTTGGGGGTCCCAAAGATTTCTTTTCCTTTCACAAACATGGAAATCTTGGGAGAAACAAGTTCCTGTAGAGAGAAACAAAGCCACAGTGTTAGCTAAACTGAGGCAAGAAGCTGCCACATGACATATAGAAAGATAAAGCTACAAGATAAAGCTACAAACGTGTTGGATTGCTTAAATTCCAGTGTGGTAAACGTGTTGCAGTGTGAAATTCTCAGGAACCATATGCTGAAGGGCACTGATAAAGTGAATTAAATATGGCCTGAGAAGGACTCCCTACTTCTTTGTTTGAATCCTTGTGGACCAACTGTAACCTACCTGAATAGGGGGACAAGGTTGAAAACCTAACTTAGGAGTACGCACCTGTAACAATAGCTGAGCCTTGGCCAATTCCAGCAGCCATACCTTAACCACTCATACACTCTTGAGTGTTCAAACTGTGTTTAAATAGACAAACACCCACCTGTAACCAATCCACCTTTTTCTGTACCTCACTTCTGATTTCTGGACATCGTTTTTAAAAAAATATATTAATCTTCTTCCACAACGTGGCTGCACTGAAGTCTCTTTGAATCTGCTGTGATTGGGGGTCTGCCTGATCCATGAATCATCCATTGCTCAATTAAACTCCTTTAAATTTAATTTGGCCAAAGGTTTTCTTTTATCAGCATTCCTATCCAGTTGAATCCCTTTGTTCTAGAATGGGGACAATCAGAATAATCTTCCTTTCCCAAAGTGTCTTTCTGAGAGAGAAGGAGAACCCATACTTCTGAAATGCAGTCAGACCAAATCCCTCATTAGCACTACAGAATCAAGGAGTTATCTACCCTGCAGGGGCAAGCCACTGAAACCATGCTTCCACAGGCACTTGTGGAGCCCCAGAGGAAATGAAATCAAAACAGAGGTTCTCACCAAAGTTCCATGGAGCTGTACCTCCTCTCGGTCATGGAAACAAATCCTTAACCTGCAGGGCATGGCAATACAGAAGGTGATGATAACAGTGGAGAATATTGGAGCTGTGGGAGGGAAGAACTGAGAAAAACAGGAGAAAATATACATATTTAACTCTGTAGACTTCAAGCTATTTACATTAATTAGGAGGAATATTTCATAGCTAAAGACCTGATCTAGCATGAGAAATACTAGAGAGATGACACATGGAGAATGCCACAGTGGGAAGCTGAAGTTCAAGTTCTGATGTTTGTTTACTGATATTTGTCTCCTGGCATGTCCAGAACTTTATGAGTACAGAACTCTTCTAATAGAGAAACAGACTCTCACAGGACATGGTCCTCAAAATGATCTCACCTTCAAATGGAACATTAACAACCTCTACATTTTTTTGGGTTTTGCCCTCTGCAGGTTGAATTCTGGGCATGAGTGTGTCTCTCAGTATTTGCACACATTGAATTGATAAAATTATTTTTGTTCTACATCTTCCAACTATTAAGATATATGAAAACTCTAAAATTTTCTTTTTTCAAGTTTGGTTCTCATTGACTCATTGGGTTAATTTTTTTTTCAGAAATAAAAATGAAGCCTCACTATTTTTCACAGGCTGATCTCAAACTCCTGGGTTCATGTAATCTTCCAACCTCAGCCTCAAATTTCTCAGATTATAGGTGTAAGCCACTGTGTCTTAATTACTTTTTTTAACTTTTTAATTGCATTTTCGTTTTGAAATAAGTGTAATTCAGGTGCTGGAAAATTTTTCTCCTCAGACTCCTCTGCAGCAGCTCCAGGGCTGACATCTGTGTTGAGTGGGCTCTGGGCTTGCCCTGCCGCTCTGCCCTCACCCTGCAGAGGATGCTGTTTGGGCTCACAGAGCATATTCTCCCAATGTCGCTCTCTCACAATGAAGGGGCTGTCCCCTGATTCAAAATGCTCTTTCAGCAGCATCTTATGTTTTGAAATTGTCTCTTAAACAGTGATTTGGCATCACTATACCCAGTAATCTGCAGGGGGAACCCAAGCACAGATTTTATGAAACCACCAGAGAGTCTCTTCCCTGGGACTGTCAGATGCAATGACACAGTCAAGATCATTGGTGAGTCCAGAAATTTTCACAGAATTCATAGGAGACTCTTATTTATTTTAGAATTCTCTATTCAAAGGTCACGCCAAATCGTATCTTCACAGAGAGAACGACATGGCTTAAAGCCCACAAAAATTAAAGCACACATGTACACACACACACACTCACACATGCACGCACAGTGGTATGGCTGAGTTTTACAGTAACTGGCTCCTAATTTGGCATCTTTCCTAGTGCAAATCAAAGATTTCTGAGACAGATGTCAATCAAATTAAAATTAATTTTGCCAAAGTTAGGACATGCCTGGAAGAAAAGTAAAAGTAATCACAGAAACAGTGTGTGGTCAGTGCCGTTCTCCCAAGGACGGTTTTTAGAGCTTTCAATATATAAAAGGGAAAAGCTGGCTAGAGGGGAAAGAAGGACCGTATGAGAATTTACATGTTGTAATGGAAAAGAAGCACATAGGGAAATAGAAAATTAGGTCGTTCTCCTGCACTGTTTCAAAAATGAACAAATAGTAGCTATCTGTGAAACTATTTAACCTTTTATCTGTAGCTATTTTCTTAGGAATGAAAGGAAAATCAGTTTCTTGCATGACTCATCTTTTAGTTTTTTTTTTCCCCTCATGACATAATGAATTGAAATCACAAGTTTTTATTTTCCTTTCACACTTTCCCCACCTCTTCTTTTTCAAAATCTTTCAGAGAATGTATTTTACTAAAAAAATTTGTCTCTGGTCTCCCGTGCTGTTTTATCTTTCATGGGTAGGACCGATTATTCCTTGATAAATAGGTCCCAGTTTGTTAGGATAGCTCATTTTTACCTATATTTCAAATGCTGTGAAGTCTTGCATCCCATTAATAAAGAAAATAGGGGGAAAGAGAAGTAAAACATATAAAATAAAGGTGGAAATAACCAACAACAAAAAGGGGAAACAATCGTGGAAAACTGATATAGCCTTGTAACTCTGAAGGC
>NT_187379.1:0-39555 GCF_000001405.40 Homo sapiens | reverse complement strand
ACTTCAAAAAAAAAAAAACTTATTAAAAGATAAAGTCTGAGTTAAAAATGAATTCACATTAATGATTTTTAATTTGATACTTCTATTGTTAAAAGAGGGATTGTTTGTATGGGTGTGTTTATGTGTAAAAAGCTAGTTAAGTTCAAACTTTTATTTATTTATTTTTTTGAGACAGAGTCTCACTCTGTCACCCAGGCTGATGTGAGGTGGCACAATCACAACTCACTGTAGCCTCAAACTCCTAGAATCAAGGGATCCTGCTATGTCAACATCCCAAGTAGCTGGAACTATAGGCGTGCACCACCGCGCCTGATTAATTTAAAAAAAAATAATAAAAATGTGGTCTCACTATGCTGACCAGGCTGCTCTCAAACTCCTGACCTCAAATGATCCTCCCCTCTTGACATTCCAAAGTGATGGGATTACACAGGCTTAAGCCATTTTGCTCAGCCAAGATTTTACCTTCAATGAGCACACATTTTATATCAGAAAAAATAATAATAAATAATAAAGTCTGTGTGAGAAATGAGTTGAAGTATAGATAACATAAAATTGGCATGTTATTAGTTGTTGTTGAGCCTGGGTAACAGGCCTATTGTACTGTTTCTTTTATTTTGTGTATGTTTTAAATTTTCTGTAATAAAACATGTATAATAATACAAAGTTGATTTACAATGTTAGCTCTTAAGATCTTAGTGACTTTGGGGGAGCAAAAAGAGAGAAAGTGGTTGCCAGAGCATCAGTGAAGCTGGTTCTATTTCTAGGTTACACACGTGTGTTCACTTTGTAATAATTCTTTGAACTTTACATGATTTGTTTGTACACATCTTTCTGCATGAACGTTATACATATATAAAAAATTAAATATTACCTATTTGCACAAAATTTTAACATCATATCTCAGAATAATAGCACTGTTTTGTACTGTTTTAAAGTGGGACATGTTTGCTCAGGGCATCATCAGATGGATATTAATATTCCAAGGTATTTACTTATGTTCTAACACTTTGGTGAACTTCTAGGTCTTCTCATATTTACATCAATTTAGTAAGTAAGATAGTTTTAATTTTTTAGGGTATAGGCCAAGCATGGTGGCTCATGCCTACAGTCTCAGCTCTTTGGAAGTCCAAGGCAGGAGGATCATTCGAGTCCAGTATTTTGAGTTTTTTTAGGATGCAATTATTATTCAGCAAAGTCCTCTCCCCACAGTGAGGTTCAGCAATGCAAGGGCACCTAGTGCATAATATGCATTTGGTATGAGTAGAACTGGATTGAATCAGGAATAAAATGTGTAGCAGAGGTCAGTTCGGCAAAGAAAAGTAGGTAATGCAGGTAAGATCAGAAGACCACAACCCACGAGCAAATCTTTCTATTTATTTCAGGAACCCATTTGCCACTAGTTCACTGGAAGAGGCTGATTTAAACCATTCATTTCAGGAAACCATTTGCCACTAGTTCACTGGAAGAGGCTGATTTAAACCGTTCATTTCAGGAAACCATCTGCCACTAGTTCACTGGAAGAGGCTGATTTAAAGCAGCAGTTTGGGGGCTTGATTGTACCCCATAGTCACCCAGAGAGCTGTAAACAGCACTGTGGCTCAGGTCCCACTGCAGGGATTCTGAATTCATTTATCTATTGCCTTTTGAGTTTAGGTAATTTTAAAAGCCTCTCTGGTGATTCTCATGTGCACCCAGGGGAAAAACCCCTGGTTCAGGGTGAGAAATTCATTTGCTGCTCATGCCTTCTGTGTGCAGCTGTGATTTGCCCCATGGCCACTCCTGAGTTTGGGGTCTTAGAAAATACACTTGTCCTGTTAAAAATCAAAAAAACAATTTCAAGACACACTCAGCTGTTTGGCTAAAATGCAACAGGAGAAAATATATTCTCAACAGATGTACCTGGATGGCACTTGCTTTCAGAGTAAAAGGTGGTTTCAAGCACAATATAGCACTTTTTTCCTACAGACTTTCAAGGCCTTTTACTATCATACCCTTATGAATCACAGGAATAAAAAAAAAATCGTAGTTATATAACTGTCAAATATTGTATTAGGAAAATAATTAAGGGCATGTCTTCCATGCTTAGGTACCTTGATTAAAATCAGTTAAGACCCATCTGCCCAGTGTGGTGGCTCACACCTGTAATTCCAGCACTTTGAAAGGCAGATGCTGGAGGGTCACTTGAGCTCAGGAGTTCAAGACCAGCCTGCTCAATATAACAAAACCTCATCTCTGCCAAAAATACAAATATTATCTGGTTGTGGTAGTGTGCACCTGTGGTCCCAGCTACTTGGGAGCCGGAGGTGGGAGAATCGCTGGAGCACAGAATGTCAAAGATGCAGTAAGCCACTGCACCCCAGCCATAATGACAGGGAAAGAGAACCTGTCACAGAAATAAAAGTAAATAAAGAGACCCATTCTTTCAGACACCCTCCTTCTTCTACGTGAAACACGAGGCTTTTGACTGAAACATTTTAAGATGAGCTGAAGATTCTCCCATGATCAGGAGCAGTAGATGGGGGTTGCTCCCTTCCTGTTCTTTGAGTTGAAGTAAGGCAGAGGTCTGGAGACTCAAACTGGTAAATAATCAAACTGGTAAATATATCAATTGCTTTCTTTTCATATGATGTATTAAGTTATTCTTGCATTGCTATTTAAAAAATCTGAGACTGGGTAATTTATAAGAAAAGAGTCTGCAGGCTGTACAGGAAGCATAGCACCAGCGTCTGCTTCTGGGAAGGCCTGGAGAAGCTTACAATCATGGTGAAAGAGAAGCAGGCATCTCACATGGTAGAAGCAGAAACAAGAAAGATGAGGAAGGGATGGGCCACACTTCTAAACAACCATATATCGCTAGTACTCACTATCTCAAGGATGGCACAGAGCCATGAGGGATTCACCTGGTGATTCAACCACCTCCTCCACAGGCCCCACCTGCCACACTGGGGATTAAAATTCAATATGAGATTTGGAGGGGACATCTAATCTACATCACATGACCATCAGAAAAACAGATGAAGAATTCACGGTTTCTACTGTCCAGAAAATTTTCATCTAGAGCAAACGGATTAATGGCTGAATTCAGCATCCTGTGGTTGGAAGGGAAATGGATTAATGGCTGAATTCATCATCCTGTAGTCGGAAGGGAGAAGGGAGCTGCACAGGGGGCCTTGGCTGCATTTGCTCCACTTCCTTTATGCTGTTCCTTGGGTTCCGATGTCACCACCTGAAGGGCTATTCATGGACAGAAGAATTATTGTTATTGTTGTGATTATTTCTATTTCTTTTATCTTGGTAAAAATAAGTTTTTAGCTTCTCATATAATTGTCCTGAAAACCCTAAGAGTTTTGCTTAAGTTTCTTGTGATCATGTGTTATAAAAATTGACAGGAAAGTGGCTAAAACATATTAAAATTACATAAGCTCTAAGAGTTAAGTCTCTGTTGGGCAGGCTTACGAAAGACAGAACTGGAAATACTCCACCAGCATGAACATCAGAAACATGGGGTCCACTTTCTGTTCCAGCCCTGCCCAGATCCACCCTCTTCTATGGCCTCATCCAGGTCTGGTCTCACCCTAGAATCTTCTCTCACAGAACTGATTAAAGGAGACCAGAAATTCAGGTGGGGGCTCCTGCTACCTCTCCTGAGCTGGTACCCACAATTTCCTAAAATGGAAAAGCAGATAAATGGAAGCAAATAATTCTATATTTGGGGGCTGTAATTTCTTTTTCATTGAAGCCAGTGCTTCTAGAGACACCCCACCTAGCAACTTGTTTTCCTCTCCTGCAAATTTAGTAGCTGCTCCACAAGGCACAAAAAGGTAAATATAAATATAAAACATCTCTCTGAACAGTTCACCCTTTTTTCTCCATCCCTCTCATCTGTCGATATAGCTTTTATTCTGCACATTTTATTTTCCAGGTAAATAATTTTTAAAATGGAAGAAAAAATAGAAACGCTAGGCCCTTCATTTAAATCCTGAAAATTACAGAAAACTTAGCACCCAACCCCCAGGGTGCTATGAGGATTAACTCACATCATGTTAAGTTTCCTGAACATTGCTCTGTAACAGACTTCTGAACACATAATATGTGCTCAGTAAACATTGTATTAACTCATGTGTACATGTTTTCCAAATGCAGACTTACTCAAACATTGATGCCTTCTCTAGGCTCTCTAAACTGTAAAGAGCCAGCAGAAAATGACATGTTTGAAAATGGTGACTGGTGGCTTCCACTTTGAGCCAAAAGTATTTGTGTTGTGGTAACATCGTTGGGTGTCAGGAGCTCTGTGCTGTGCCTACTTTCTCTAGCTGAGTGCTACTATATTGGATGTAGTGGAAGAAACATCAGCATTAAGAGGAGACTTTTTAAAGAAGCCAATTCATGGGCCCCTTCCAAACCTGCAGAATCACATCACTAAGAGAGAGCCTGGAATCAGAAATAATTCATAGGCACATTGAAACTTGAGAGTTGGGCACAGTGACTCATGCCTGTAATCCCAACACTTTGGGAGGCTGAAGTGGGCAGATCACCTGAGGTCAGGACTTCAAGACCAGCCTGGGTAACATGGCCAAATCATGTCTCTACTAAAACATACAAAAATTAGCCAGGTGTGGTGGCTGGTGCCTATAATCCTAGCTACTCGGGTGGCTGAGACTGCAGAATCACTCGAACCTGGGAGGTGGAGGTTGCCATGGGCCAAGATGGCGCCACTGGCCCATGCTTCCAGCCATAATCACATGGCCAGCTTAAAGAAATACCATCACCTGTGCCCTCCCCAGATACTCTGTCTATTGGTCTTGGTGGGAGCATCTATGTAGTTATAATTAGAAAGTCAAATTGTCCCTCTTTCATGATTATATAATATCATATATATAAAAATTCTAAAGACCGCCAAAAAAACTCTTAGATTCGATAAATAAATTTAATAACGTTTCAGGATGCAAAAATCAATGTACAAAAATTGGTAGCGTTTTTATACACTAATGATGATCAAGCTGAGAACTGAATTAAAAAGTCACTTCCTTTTACAATAGCTACAAAAAAGGTAAAATGCTTAGAAATACAATTAGTCAAAGAGATGAACGATCCCTACAAGGAAAACTACAAAACACTGATGAAAGAAGTTGTACATGACACAAATGAGAAAAACATCCCATGCTCATGGATTGGAAGAATTATGATCGTTAAAATGACTCTACTGCCCAAAGCAATCTACATATTAAATGCAATTCTTACCAAAATGCCAATGTTATTTTTTATAAAATTAGAAAAAAAAAAACCACTAAAATTAACATGGAACCACAAAAAGAGCCTAAATAGCCAAAGTAAATCTAAGCAAAGAGAATAAAGCTGGAGATATTACATTATCTGACTTAAAATTATGCTAGAAGGCTGTAGTAACCAAAACAGCATGGTACTGATATAAATTGACACAAAGATCAATGGTACAGAATAGAGAACCTAGAAATAAAGCCACATACCTACAAACAACTGATCTTTTACAAAGTCAACAAAAACATACACTGGAGAAATGACATCTTATTCAATAAATTGTGCTGGAAAAATTATATTGCCATATGCAGAAGTACGGAATGGGACCCCCATGTTCCACCATATACAAAAATCAACTCAATATGTGTTAAAAAACTAAAATGCAAGACCTGAAACTATAAACATGCTAGAAGAAACTCTAGGATAAACTCTTCTAGACATTGACTTGAACAAAGAATTTATTACTAAGATCTCAAAAGCAGATGTAACAATAACAAAAATAGACAAAAGGAACTCAAACTAAAAAGCTCCTGAAAATGAGCTTTTTAATTAACACAGTGAAAAGAAAACCTATGAAATAAGATAAACGTTTACAAGTTTCGCATGTGACAAAGATCTAATGTCCAGAATATACAAGGAACTCAAACAGCTCAACAAAAATAAAACAAGTAACCTCATTAAAAAGCAAGCAAAGAACATGAACATTAAAAAAAAAGACACTGATGGTCAATGGTCAACAAGCACGTAAAAGGTGCTCAACATTGTCAATGATCAGAGAAATGCCAATTAAAAACCACAATGAGATACCAACTTACACCATGCCGAATGGCTATTACTAAAAAGAAGAAAAATGAGCTATCGGCAAGGATACAGAGAAAAGATAACATTTATACATTGTTTGTGGGAAAGTAACTTTCTACAATCTCTATGGAAAACAGTATGGAGATTTCAAAATAGACTAAAAATAGAACTTCCATTTGATTCAGCATTCCCACTACTTGGTATCTACCCAGGGGAAAATAATTTGTTACATAAAGAAAATACCCATGCTCACATGTTTATCACAACACTATTCACAATAGCCAATACATGAAATCAATTTAAATTTATCAATCAATAATCGAATGAAGAAAATGTGCTATACAAGTATACCAAGGAATGCTACTCAACCATGAAGAAGAATAAAATCATGTCTTTTGCAACAACATGAATAAAACCAGAGGCCATTATTGTAAGTGAAAAAACTCAGAAACAGAAAATCTAATCTGTATTTTCTCACTTGCAAGTGTGAACTCAATTATGCATACACTTGGATATAGAGACTGGAAAAATAGACACTGGAGACTCAGAAAGATGGGAGGTTGGAGAGGGTTTAGGAATGAGAAAATAACTAATGGGGACAATAAACAACATTCAGATGATTGTCACACCAAAAGCCCATACTTCATCCCTATGCAACATGCATCTGTAAGGGAGCTGCATTTGTACTCTCTAACGTATTAATAAAGAGATTTAGAAAAAGAGTCCTGGCGTGGTGGCTCAAGCCTATAATCCCAGCACTTTGGGAGGCTAGGTGGGCGGATCACGTTGTCAGGAGTTCAAGACCAGCCTGGCCAATATAGTGAAACCCTGTCTCTTCTAAAAATACAAAAATTAGCCGGGCATGGTGGAGCATGCCTGTAGTCCCAGCTACTCAGGAGACTAAGGCAGGAGAATCACCTGAACCCGGGAAGCGGAGGTTGTGGTGAGCCGAGATTGTGTCACTGCACTCCAGCCTGGGAAACAGAGAGACTCCGTCTCAAAAAAAAAGAGAGAAAAAAAAAACTTTGGCTTTTATCAAGAGGACAAACTGAATAGACCTCATAATTTTCATAAATAATTAGATTAGGCAAAAAAATTTTAACAAAAATAAATAAAAAATAATATTGTATTTTAAGAATGGTATAGAAAGATAATTTGATGAATTAGAGTAGTTAGTACTTAGCACATAAAATATGTTAGGCAAGATTCTAAGCCACTTAGACCTTTATGTACAGAATATGTAACAGAGTAAAATAAATAACACAAAGATTCATTGACAATGACAAATTGACATATTTTCAATCATATTAGATGATATTAAAACCATTAACAAATTTACTGCTTTGTTTCATAATTAAAAAGAATGCTAAATAACTTCATTAAAAAGTTGGACTAATTAGGCATATAGATAAATGGGCAGGATTTGGACCAGAACACAGAGGATACACATTTTCAAAGACCAGACAAAATTATTTACTTATTTTTTGGGGGGGAGAGAACAGTTTTATTATCTGGGGATACAGTGGGGTCCTCTCCCTGGGAGGTGGGTCTTCCACTGGTTATCCCCACCAGGGCTCCAGGGGGCGTCATGAGATTCAGTACTGGGCTCCGCTGGGGGCTGGGCCTTGGAGAAGGCGAACTGTGCAGGGAAGCAGCAGCTGTGGGGTCTTCACCGCCCGCTCTGCCCAGCTGCTCCCGACCTCCTGGTGCTCCTCAGGCTCCCGCCGAGTCTGTGTCTCTGGAGGGCAGCGAACCATCCTGCCCAGAACCTTATCCTCACATTCCAGTTTGACGCAGGTCAGCCATTTCTGCTTCCTCCTCTCAGGCTGGACTTTGCACTTGGCTTTCTTCCAGTCCTTCCAGCCACTTCTCTGTCTGCCGGAGCTTAAATTCCAGCCTCACAAATGTTCCAGATGGGAAGGGCGTGACCAGGGCGCTGTCCACACTGGTCTCCCGGAAGGCCTGCTGCACGGGTGGGTGCTTGCAGATTCCTCCAGGGCCACCTGCAGGCCCCGGCGCTGGCCCGGTGAGCTCGGCCCCTCCCGCATTCCCCGCGCCCACCCACTGGGCCAGCAAGATCCGCAGCCATCTCAGGCTTCCCCTGTCACCCTGGCCCTGCGAAGCTGGTGTGCGCCCCTTAGTTCTCCGAGCCTGCCAGGAGCCACCTCCTCCCCTGCCCTGCCCCTGTGGGGGCCATGCCCGCAGAACGCTGGGCAGAGGCGAAGGAACCGGGAAATGTCCCTTTCTCCACACTGACCTTGGGGTGTACTGGGTCTTCTCCACTCCCTCCCACCTGCCCGTGCTGTTCCCTGGGGCACGCAGTTTCAGCAAAGTTCCCTACCGCGCCGGGAAGCCGTCCTGTTGCTCACTCTCACCCTTCCTGGTTTTCTGGCCCATTCTCTCTCCCCACTGGGTCTCTGACAGGACCTTCTTTCCTCCCGGCTGTCTCCGGAGCCCCTCTCCGCTTCCTCAGCTCAGCCCCTTCTCTGACGGCTTCTCTCTCCCACCCCCAAGCGAATCTCCGGGCTCTCAAGGGGTGCCCCCGATCCCCGGGGCCTAGGTCAACCAGACAAAATTATTTCAAATGGGAAGATGTGAATTCCTTTGAATTCATGAAAGCAGGAATCCATCTGGTCATATTTTAAATAATTTTGAAATGATAATAGCAACTATCAATTTAACCAGAATTCAGAATACCCACCATTTTACCAGAAAAAAAACCTGTTATAACTAAACAACTAAGTCAGTAAATTTTCAGGATACAATATTAACATATGAACATCAGTGGCATTTTTTTACAGTAACAGCAAAATATCTGAAACAGAAATAAAGATAGTTCCATTTACAATATTATCAAATAGAATGAAATACTTAAGAATGAGTTAACAAAGAATATGAAAGATCTGCAGGCTGAAAACTATAAAATGTTGAGGAAAGAAAATGAAAAATACAAAATGGGAAATATATTATGTGTTCATGGATTCTAAAAATTAATATTATTAAAATATCCATATTACACAAAGTGATCTACAGAGTTAAACTTCTATCAAAATTTTAATGCCATTTTATTAAAAATGTAGAACAACAATTTTAAAATTAGTATGGAACCACAAAAGACCTCAAATAGCCAAATACTGAGAAGAACAAAAAGGCTGAAAGCCTTACACTTCCTGATTTCAAACTATATTACAAAGCTGTAGTCATCAATATAGTATAGTACCTACATAAAAACCAATAGAACAGAATAGAGGACCCAGAAATAAACTCACAAATATACAGTCAACCAATCCCAGAGAATGGAGAAAGGATAAACACATCAAGGAGTGGTGTAGGAAAAACTAGATATGCACAGAAAAAAGTGAACCTTTCTCTCATGTCATCACAAAATGAATTTGAAATGAAATAAAGACTTAAACATAATAACTGAAATCATGAATCCTCTTAAAAAATGGGGAAAAACCTTGACACTGGTCATGGCAATGATGTTTTGGATATGACACCAAGAACAGTCAACAAAAGCAAAAATGAACAAGTGGAACTATGTCAAAGTTAAAATTTTCTGCACAACAAAGGAAACAATCAGCAAAATATAAAGGCATTATAGGAAATGGGAGAAAATATTTGTAAACTATATATAGGGTAATATGTTACTATCCAAAATATACATCATACTAATCAATACAAAAAACCCACAGCAGAATTAAAAGCAATTTCTTGATTAATAATTGGGCAAAATATATAAATAGCAATTTTTCCAAAGATATACAAATGGCCAGCAGGTATATAAAAAATGCTCGACATCACTAATTTTCAGAGTAATTAAAAACAAAATCACAATGAGGTATCACCTTATCGTGGTGTTTGGATGCCTATTATCAAAAAGTCAAAAGATAAAAAGTGTTAGGGTGTGGAAAAAGAGAACACTTGTGCACTGTTGCTGAGGATGTCAATTGGTGCAGCTATTATGAAAAACAGTATGGAGGTTCCTTAAAATTTTTAAACTAGAACTACTACTAATCCCAATTAGGAGTATATAGCCAAAGTACATAAAATCAGGATCATCAAGGGTATCTGCACTCCTCTGATACAGATAAACTGAGACATACATAATTTCAGCTTTAATAAAAATGAAACTCTTTCATCCACAACAATATTGATTAATCTTGAAGACATTATGCTAAGTGAAATAAGCCGAATACAGAAAGACAACTACTGCATGATCTCGTTTGTATGTAAAATCTAAAAAAGTAAATAAAAATTTTAAAAAAGCCATGGAAACCGTAGAACCGTGCTTCCCATGGGCTAGGAAGTGGGGAAATTGGGGAGATATCCATGGAAGGGGCACACCTTCAGTTACAAGGTGAGTAACTGCTGGGGACCTAATGTACAGAATAGTGACTATAGTTAACAATACTCCGTACTTGAAATTTGCTACAAGAGTAGATCTCAGGTGCTCTCACCACACACACAGGAACGTATTAACTATGTGAGGGGATAGATAGGCTAACTAGCTTAACTGAGGTAATTTAAAGACTACTGACATCTCCAAACACTCTATTGTACACCCTAAAAATATACGCTTTTCAATTAGTCAATCATAGCTCAACGAATGGAGAAAAAAATAAGAGTAACCAGCAGGTCATAGCTAGCCACATGGAAACTCGATTTAAAACACGCTTGGCCACTGTTTCCAGCTCAACTCGGGAACGGCCGGAGCACTTCTGGCCCCTGGACTTCGACGCTCCTCCTGCGGCCCCCGTGGCTGGGGAAGGTACAGTCGTTCCCAGGATTCCAGGCACGCAGATCCGGCAGGGCCATCACCGTTCCCTTGCTCTTGCCGCAGCCCCGTTAGGCTCTGCGTTTCGGGGCCTCCTGGCCGGGGAGGCTGCCTGTGGCTGCCCGCGCGCCCCTGTGGCTGTGGCTCCGCCGGCCCCCGCTTCGGCCCCACGCAGCCCCTCCAAGGCCGCAGCCGTCTGGCGCCCGAACTCGCGGCCTCTGCCCGTACCCGCCGCCAGCGCCTTCGCTGTGACCGCTCCTCCCCCTCCCCGAGCCCGAGCTGACCCAGCGGAGAAGGAGGGCGGAGAAGCTGGAACCCGAACGCTGAGCTGCAGGCGGCAGGTGCGGGAACAGGAGAAGCTATGGCCTCGCACAGGACGGCTGCTCAGAGCGACACGAGCAACCACCAGGAGCTCTGCACGCAGCTGGAAGAAAAGCTCAGTAATGTACTCTGCTGTGGGAGAAATGGAGATAATAAAAGTCTGATGTAGAAGTACTCACAGAGAACCATGCTCCTTGGTCAATCTCAGATTATTATCAGATCTACTGTAATGATGTTAGTCTTCCAAATAAAGTGAGTGACTGAACTGTCAAATCAGCAAGATCAGGATATTGAAAGTCCTGCTTTGAATTCTAACGACAAGTTATAAATAAAAAAATGATGCTCACCCTGGTACTGATAGGACAGCAAATGTTAAGTGTAGACAGGGTCATTTGCCTCAAATTCACAGGAGCCAGCATCTGCATTAGCAGCACAAGATACGTCCTTAGAAGTTTCGTCATTAGCTGAAAGTTTGAGAGCTGCAGCAGAAGCGGCTTTATCACAGACTGGATTTAGTTATGATGAAAATACTGGACTGTATTTTGACCACAGCACTGGTTTCTATTAAGATTCTGAGAATCAAATATATTATCATTTAATTTATTACTACTGTGATGTGGAAAGTGGTCGCTATCGATTTCATTCTCGAGTAGATTTGCAACCTTATCAGACTTATAGCACAAAACAAAAATGAAAAATTGAGAAAAGAAAGGATCCAGATTCTTCTACAAAAAAACAATGAGGAAAAGGATTTGAATTCAGAGGATCAAGAAGCCTTCAGTGTTGAACATACAAGCTGCAACGGGAAAGACAATTTCACAAATGTGGAAAAAAAAGCTAAAATAGGCATTCATCACAAAAATAATCCCCAAAATTCACTGTTCCAGTTAGTGGAAATCCTATAGAATCTCCTCTTAATGAAAACATCTCAATTCATCTTTAAGGATGAGAAAATCACAGAGACTGATAGTGAACCAGAAGAAGGTGAAATTACGGACTCTCAGACCGAGGGTAGTTATGATGAAGGCATTACCAGTAAAGGCAATGCAACTGCAAAAGATACTGCGGAGGAAGATGAGGAAAAATTGTGGCCCTCATATACGAGAGTAATTGTCATGAGATCACCTGTGTTACAGACAGGATCATTCTTCATCATTACTGCTGTAAAACCTGCTACAATTGGAAGAGAAAATGATATGAAGAATACTCTTCGAATCCCTGAAGTTGGTGTAAGTTTCATGCAGAAATCTGTTTTGACCATGACTTACAAAGTTATGTCCTTTTGGATCAGGCAGTCAAAATGGAACACTTGTTAATGGAAAATGGATTGTTCAGCTGAAAACTAAATGTGACCATTATGAACCTGAGCATGGAGATAAAGTGAAAGTTGGAGACACTGTGTTATCTTATTACATTCACCCTGGCAGTAATAGCTGTGTTGGATGTGAACCAGGGCAGGTTAGAGCTCACCTTTTCCTTGATAAGAAAGATGAATCATTTGTTGGTCCATCATTAACTAAGAAGGAAACGAGTTGGAAAGACGAAAAGGATTTTAAAAATATACGAGTAAAATATGGTTTACAGAATACAGATTACAAAGATGATAAAATACTGGAGAATCAAAAATATAAAGATAGAGCTGGAAAACATAGGGAGCAGATTGGAAGTGAAGGAAATTTCCGAAGAGATGATGCTCCTGCATCTGTTCATTCTGAAATTACTGATAGCGACAAAGGTCAGAAGATGTTGAAAAAGATGTGTTGAAAACAGGAGAAGGCCTGGGGAGGGATGGTGGGAGAATAAAATCTCCAATACAGCTTCAGCTTTGGCAAACACATGCAGGATTGGAGACAGACAAACCATCCTCAGTTAAAGAGACTCACCTTCTCCAAAACAAGAACAACAACAACTGGGACAAAGCTCAGGAGAGGTTTGCTGAAAACTTTCCAGAAACTAAACTTCCAAAAGATGACCTAGGAACCATTCCTTGGGTAAAAGGGACTGAGGAGTGAAGGTTAATCACAGAAGAAAACTCAAGCTTTTTTTATAAATAGAGTTTGGAAACTCTTATTTTATTGCAGAATGTTTCTCCCCAAAAAAGTCAGTGGTATAAGAAAGCTGGGTCACAGTTTACCCCTTCCTGATTCAGAAATGTGTAATAAAATGTGGTTTACAGCTTTTAAAAAACACTTTTTAAACTAATTATTAGTGACAGAATTAAGTTATACAGTAAGTGAACTAAAGTTCACAGGGTACAGATAAGTTTATCAAACTTTACTATTTTATCTGGTCATTTACAACATCCATATAAGCAATTAGCCATATAAGCAAAATTCATATAACCACTTAAATGCTCATTTGTCCTTGTCTCCATATATTCATAGTAGTATGCACAGAAAATACAGCAAAAGAAACATCTAAAATCTATAAAAATAAATCTGACAATGTACATTCTTTTTTATGTCCTTCAGGACCTAGATAAAAAATGTTGAGACAACATGAATAGTGATGCATACATTTTATTATATTTGGGATAGCCTAAATCATATTAAAGAACTAATGAACAGGTGACATGTCACAGAAAATTCGTCTTTTATTGTTTTCTTTGGTGAAGAATCTGCATTTGTTGATATATACTGTACATTCAGCATTTGTATTTGGTTTGTTTCATAGCTAATGAAATGTTTATACATGAAAAAATGAGTACAGTATTGAAATAGTCCATGTGCTGGCATTCATACTTTTTATAAATACCATTGCAGGCAATGAAAAGTTGTGCCAGAAAAATCTGATTTTGAGTACAAAAGGAATACTTAGCCAGGGCCTCGAGCTCAATATATTTATTGAAAATGTCCTAAATTGCCATAAAACATTATAACCTTAAATTACTCATTTCAATAAATTATGAATTAAACAAAAAATACAAATGATGTCTTTTATGGATCAGAGAAGTACTAATGGGACAGAATGGCCATTGAAGCCAAAAGGTCTGAATTCAGGTAGATAATTTTACTCATATTAGTTTTATGTTAGAGAAAACAATACTTCTAACCATATACTATTTATTGCAGTGGAGTATTTCAAAAATATGTACATAATATATAATTAATTTTCTAATGGTATAAAAGTAATCACACTCTACAAATTATTACAGTATGGTCTATTGATGAGAGGGTGTTTCAAATGAAAAAAACTTGGAATTTCTCATGGTGATAGATGCCATAGAAAATCTATGTAAAATATTTCACTCATATATGCAATTATTGATATTTCTGCTTTTCAGAAAAATAATATACTTTAAACACTTAATGCAGACAATTAAAATCACCAAGAAGTTACAAGAATTCACAGAATGCCCAATATAGTTGAAAGGAAATTAAGAAAACCTCCCAGGACTGGAAGTAAATAAAGGTAATGATCCAGAGAAGTAATCAACCTAAGAGGCCAGGGCACCACTCAGACGCATCTGATTACAAGAACATCAAGTCCATGTGGGTTGTTCCCTTCTGACGAGGCAAATGGAATAAACAAAGAGAAACTGCCTGCAGGCATTGGAATGCGGTGTCTCCCATATATGAGGATTAAATTATAAATTATGTTGCACACAAGGAGATGAGCTACTGAGGTGAAGCATCAGAAGAAATTATATGGCACATAAATCTCAGATATTGAATTTATATTTAAATGTTTAAGTCAATATAATGGAAAAACAAGAAACCAAAATAATGTGGAAAGAAACTACGAGCTTGTCAAGCTATCTTTGGAAACGAGGCAAATGAAAAGTAAAGTATTGAAAGTGTTGTAAAACAATTTAATGTACAACATACAAATTACATGTTAAAATAGGCTGGGCCAAAAAGAGGGCTAGTAAAGTGAAATGCTGATCACAATTAATGTAGTCATATATGTTATAGAAGGCAAATTAATAGAAAATATAAATATATTTATATATGAAGATTAGATTGAGAAGAAATAAAAAGCATTTAATTGTTTTACCAGACTCTCTAAATAGGAAGGCAACAAAGAATCAGTGACTCGTAAGTTTCAGAAATTAGAAACCAGACATGAAACCTTTAAAAGCTTAGGGTGTAATATATGAAAAAAAAGGTAAATTAAGAAATACTTAGAAGAAATAGTGGTTTGGGTTATTTTGAATACTGCTTAATAAGCATGAGAGTGCAGTTCTCTTTTTTGATGTGCTTAATTTGTTTCCTTTTGATATAAACCCAGCAATGAGATTGCTGGATCATATGGTAGTTCTATTTATAATTTATTGAAAAACCTCCATACTGTTCTCCCTATAGAAATGGGAAATGATTGTACTAACTTACATTCCTACCAACAGTGTATAAGTGCCCATCTACAGAATGAATAAAGAAAATGTTATACACACACACACACACACACACACAGGAATAATGTTCAGTCATAAAACAGAATGAAGTTCTGTCATTTTTGTCAACATGGATGAGCCTAGAGGACATTATGTTAAGTGGAATAAGCCAGGCACAGAAAGAAAAAGACCACGTGCTTTCACTCACTTGAAATCTGAAGAAGTCCATGTCATAGAAGTAGACAGTAGGATGGTGGTTACCAGAGGTTAGTGATGGCAGAAGGATGAGGGAGTGGGGAGAGCTTTGTCACTGGGTTACAAAGTTACAGTTAGGAAGAATAAATCCTGGTGTTCTATTACACAGCATGATGACTATAGCTAATAATAATGTACCTTTTATTCTATAATAGCTTGAATTGAGGATTTTGAACTTTATTAGCACAAGGAAATAAATGTTTGAAGTGTTAAATATGCTAATTACTCTGGTTGGATCACTGTACAGTGTATGTGGTACAGTGTGATGAAGTGAAACATCATATAATTAACATAATTGTCCACGTTTGTGGAGTACAATGTGATGTTTCACTGCATCTCACTGTACCGTGTAGTATGATGCAGTGAAGTATCACGTAATTAACACATGATAGTTACATATGTTTACAGAGTACAATGTGATGTTTCACTGCATCTCACTGTACCATATAGTATGACGCAGTGAAACATCACACTGTGCCCCATAAATATTACTGGTTCAGCAGGGAACTGTGGGACACAGAGCAGCTCCAGGTTAGCCATGACCAGCAGCTTCACCTGTGTGGGGTAGCAAGAGGGGAAGGGCCCTGTGCTTGGCTGAGAGTTGACCCCTGACCCCATCCACTTTGACTGCTAGGTGCCAGCAGAGGTCAGAGACCCCTAACTTCAGGCAGAGGCAGGAAGCAACGTCATTGCCTCTTTTTTTTGGGTGGGGGGGGAATCTCACTCTATCGCCCAGGCTGGAGTGCAGTGGTGCGATCTCGGCTCACTGCAATGTACATAGAGGTGTACGTCAGAATCACACCTGCAGGAAGATCCCTGGGTGAGATTAACAATCCCACATAGAAGTGTACGTCAGAATCACACCTGCAGGAAGTTCTCTGGGTGAGATTAACAATCCCACATAGAGGTGTACGTCAGAATCACACCTGCAGTAAGGTCCCTGGGTGAGATTAACAATCCCACGTAAGTGCCAGTTCTGGGTATGAGAGTCAAGGCCTCCTGTATGTTGGGTCCATGTACATAAGTCACAATCTCAATGGTGGAATGGATTTTTCCATGAGAGGCTTAATGCCTTTCGAAAATTGAGTTATCTTAGTGGAGTCACAGCCTCACAAGTGTTTTGGATCTTGTTCAGGGATTCACAAACCCACTTGTGGACAACATCCACTTATGAGAGCCAACTTTCCAACTTTTGACTGCCTCTGGGTGTGAGATTCAGAACCTCAATTATGGGTTGTGTCCATGTGGGAGAATGACAATTTTTACTGATGGCTGGGCTCAGGAAGGAGCCTTTCATCCTGCAGGTGTTGAGATAAATGATATGTCACAATACCCAAAATATGTCGGTGCAGGCAAAAGATGAGAGTCATATTAGCTGGTTGCTAGGTCCAGTTATATTTCACCACCTCTGTTTTTGGCAGGGCTAAGGCAGAAGAGGAGAGTCAGAGCTAAAGAAATGTCACAATGTCCCTGTGGGTAGGGCCTATGCGTAAGAATTGCATCATCTAGTCATTGAACCCAGCCATATATTACAATACACAATGTATACAGGGCCCAGGCAAGAAAGGAGAGCATATCACATAGGTACTGGGTCCAGCAATGTGTCACAATACCCCCTGAGGGGAGGCTCCAGGCAACAGGGTAACATTACCTAAGTGAAGTGCGCAGAGAGATGTTTCAATGCCCCTGGTGAGTAGGATTTTGAAAAAGGAGAAGTTACATAACCTAGGGGACAGGCCTAGCTGTGTGTCACATTCATCTCCAAGATGGAGCCCAGACATGAGAGAAAAGTCACATCATGTAGGTACTGGGCAAAGTAATATGTCATAATCCTTACTGTGAGCAGGCCCTAGGAAGAACTAGAGAGTCACATAGTCTAGATGATGGGCCCAGAGGTATTTGACAATGACTCCTGTAGGTAGGGACCATGCAGAAGAATCACTTCACCTGTGTGCTGTGCCCAGTTATAAGTCACACTTCCCTTTGTGGGCATGACCGAGGCAGGGAGAAGAGTCACATCATCCTGGTGCTTGGCCCAAAGATATGTCACAATCTCTCTTATAGGCAATGCTCATGTAAGAGAGGAGAGTCACATCAAATAGGTAGTGGACACAGAGGTATGTCACAAGGCCTTCTGTGAACTTGATCCAGGCAGAAGATTCACATCAACTTGGTGCTAAGCCCAAGTTGTCACAATCTCTTCTGTGTAAAGGGACCAGACAGGAAAAGAGAATCACATTACCTGGCCAGTGAGCACAGAGATCTGTCACAATGCCCCTTGCAGTCAGGGCCCAGGCAGAGGAGTTACATCACCTGGGTAGTGGACCCAGCAATATACCACAGTGTCCCATATAGGCACAAGCTGGAGAGTCACATAACCTGGGTGCCAGGCCATGCTATATAGAACAATGCTTCCTGTGGGCAGGCTAAGGTGGAAGAGGAGACTCACATCACCTGGGTGCACGGTCTAGCAATATGTCAAAATGCTCACTGTGGGCAGTGCCAAGGAAGGAGAATACAGTTGCACCCTCAAGGTGGTGGATCCAGCAATATGTTAATATCCCATCTGTGGGCTGGGTCCATGCAAGAGCGTCAAGTCACTCAGGTGCTAGGCACTGGGAAATTTCATCATGAAACCTGCAGAATGGTCCGGGAATAAGATTAACAATCCCACAACTGTCACAGTTGTAGGCATGACATTCAACACCTCTTGTATGTTGGGTCTAAGCCCACAAGTAACCATCTCAACACCAGACTGGATTTGTGCATGAGAGCCTCAATTCCTCTGCAGACTGTGTCACCTTAGTGAAGTCACAGCCTCACAGTTGTGCTGAATCTTGGTCTGAGAGTCACCAACCCATGGATATATATGGACATATATATCCATATATAAGTCAATTTTTCCCACCTTTGGCTGACTACAGGTGTGAGATTCAGCACCTCAACAGTGACCTGTGTTCCTGTGAGAGGATGAGAATATTTACTGTTGGCTGGGTGTGCATATGAGTTCCACAGTCTCACCTGTGTGCTCGACCCAGTTAGCACTCTCTGTGTACTACCCAATGGCGCTATACAGTATGAATGACAGTTGCAATCAACTTTGAGACCTTCCTGCTGGTAGGGACCCATGATCATAGCTGTGGCATTAAGCCCGGGTATGAGAGTCAACGTCATTACAATTAACTAGGTCAGGATAGGGGAGTCCTCCCTTGCCTATAAGCTGCGTTTATAAATGAGCCACCATTTCATCTCTGGTTGAATATTTATACATGAACACGGGCCTAGCACCAAGAAGATGTGAGTCTTTGGCCTAGCAGGAGGCAACGTGACATGTCTCTCTGCCTAACAACTATTTGATGTGAACTGCTTTTTCACCTGAGGTTTTCCCATAAAAGAGACGTGATATATGTCTAGACCCAGAACCTAGGTGATGTGGCTTTCCTTTTTTGACTAAGCCCTGTGTATTTTGGGTATTCTGACATATCCCTGCACCTAACATCTGGAAGATAAGAAGATCCAGCATGGGCCCTGCCTAAAAAGTTTTTGTGACATATTTCTACATTAGTACCTTGGAGATGTGACTCTCCTCTCTTTCCTGGGCTTTGCCCATAAGAGATATTGTTATGTACCTCTGCAGCAAGCACCTAAATGCTGTGACTCTTCTTTCTTGCCTGGGTCGTTCCCACAGATGAAAGTGTGGTTTATCGCTGTATCCAGCACAACCGTTATGTGATTATTCTGCCTGATCTCTGCTCACAGGAGCCATTGTGACATATCCCTGGGCCAGAAACTAATATGACTCTCCTCTATCCCCTTAACTTTGTGCATAGGATAAATTGTGATGTATCTCTGGGTCCAGCACCTAGGTGATGTGACTCCTTTTCTGCATGGACTATGCCCACAGGAAGGAGGCTGATTTATTGCTGTGTTGAGAGCTGATGTAATACCTCGGTCCTTGTCTTCTTAGTTTATAATAGTTTAAACAAGAGACACACAGAAAAGAAGTACAGCATAATTTATTGGAAAAGAAAACAAATTTGAAAGTTAAGTGCAGAATACAGTACACCATGAGAGAGATATTCCAGGGCGGGCTGCTCATAAGAGTGAGACAACGTGGATTGTCGCTAGAGAAACCCCCTTATGGGAGTTTTATATTATTATTAATAATGAGGGGGGAAGAGGAGCTGCTAGTAAGCCTGTTCTGAGTGGTCTTCTGGGTGCACATGTGCAGTAGCTGTACATGCTTACTCATATTTTGCATGTCTCATTAGCATCTTAGACCTCTAGCCAGGAGTGTATTTTTGTTTGTTTGCTTGAGACAGAGTCTCGCTCTGTTGCCCAGGCTGGAGTGTGGTGGTGCAATCTCTGCTCACTGCAACCTCTCCCTCCCAAGTTCAAGCCATTCTCGTGCCTCAGCCTCCTGAGTAGCTGGGATTACAGGCATGCACCACCATACCTGGCTAATTTTTGTATTTTTAGTTGAGATGGGCTTTCACTATGTTGGCCAGTCTAGTCTTGAGCTTCTGGTTTCAAGTGATCCATTCTTCTCAGCCTCCCAAAGTGCTGGGAGTACAGGTGTGAGCCACCGTACCCAGCTGGGGAGTGTATTTTTTGCTATTAAAATAAGCAAAAGTTAAGTTTGAGGACAGGTAAAATCAAAATGCACATGCTCTCTAGAACAGAAAGTCCTTAATGAAGATAGCTTTGCTTGAATGAGCCCAATTACAATGTGAATGCTAAGGCTCGTTGTCTTGGCTGTACAGTTACCACAGTTTCAATGAATGGGTGGCCTGCCCCTCCACACCTGTGGTTGTTTCTCATCAGGTGGAATGAGAGACTGAGAAAAGAAAGAGACACAGAGACAAAGTATAGAGAAAGAAAAGTGAGCCCAGGGGACTGGCGCTCAGCATACAGAGGACCCACGCTGGCACTGGTCTGAGTTCCCTCAGTATTTATTGATCACTATTTCTACCATCTTGGAGAGGGGGATGTGGCAGGACAATAGGGTAATAGTTGGGAGAGGGTCAGCAGGAAAACATGTGAACAAATGTCTCTGTGTCATAAATAAAGTTAGAAAAGTTGCTGTGCCTTGATGTGCATGTATACAAACATCTCGGTGCATTAAAAACAGTATTGCCATCAGCATGTCTCAACTCCAGCCCTAGGGCAGTTTTCTCCTATCTCAGTAAATAGAACATACAATCAGGTTTTACAGCGAGATATTCCATTGCCCAAGGATGAGCAGGAGACAGATGCCTTCCTCTTATCTCAGCTGCAAATAGGCCTTCCTCTTTTACTAATCCTCCTCAGCACAGACCCTTTATGGGTGTCAGGCTGGGGGATGGTCAAGTCTTTACCTTCCCAGGAGGCCATATTTCAGACTATCACATGGGGAGAAACCTTGGACAATACCTGGCTTTCCTAGGCACAGGTCCCTGCGGCCTTCCACAGTGTATTGTGTCCCTGGGTACTTGAGATTAGAGAGTGGTGATGAATTTTAACAAGCATACTGCCTTCAAGCACTTTTTTAACAAAGCACATTCTGCATAGCCCTAAATCCATTAAACCTTGAGTTGACACAGCACAAGTCTCTGTGAGCATGGGGTTGGGGCTAGGGTTACAGATTAACAGCATCTCAAGGCAGAAGAATTTTTCTTAGTACAGAGCAAAATGGAGTCTCTTATGTCTACTTCTTTCTACATAGACACAGTAACAGTCTGATCTCTCTTTCTTTTCCCCACATTTCTGTATCCCGAGATCATGGTCATTTTCTTGACTATCTATTCTGATCTATTCTGCCTCAGCTTCCCCCTAAGAGATCTTAGGGTCATAATCATATTGGAGGTTGAGGGGCTAGGTTACTTTTTCTGGAGCTATTTCCTGCTGAGTGGGTGTTATTTCTGCCTAGTCTGGGCCCTAAAGTTTCTTCCTGTGTGATCTAACTGGCTGTAAACCATGTAATTCGTGGAACCAGTGGGGAAGATGTTGGCAGCCAAATGTTGAAAGCCTTGCAAAACCATCATGCAAACATGGAGTTGCTGTAAGCAAGAGAGCAAGAAATCAGTTCACATTTTAAACAACATTGGAACAAAAGTAAAACCTGAAATTATAGTAATGGCTGTTACTATTAAAGAGAGTAAGGCAGGTAATAGACATTGCTTTCATGGTCCCATGGAAGTTCCTAGAGATTCAATTTTGTCTGCCTGGGTGATGATATTATTAATATTTTCTTGGACTAAACCGGGCTGATTGATCTCAAAAACAGCATTCTTCTTTTAGATATAAACATGTTCCTCTTTGCCTGGCTGGGAGAAGATCCCAGGCTCTTTGCTTTTGTCGGACTACAGTGGCCATGGAGTCCAGACGTTGTTGAAGTCTATTGAGGCCCTCTGCTGCTTGTTGTGGACCCATTGAGGTTTTCTGAGATAGTTTATACTGGATTCCCAAGGCTCCACCTTATGGTGACATTTATGCTGCAAAAGTATTTTGCATTAAAATGGTGAAAGCAACAAACGTTTTAAGTATTTTCTATTTTTTGCTAATAGGCAAAATTTTGTGCAGCTAAGTTGGCAGCAGTCATTCGGTCCATTTCTGGATGGTACAGTTGAATGGTGGTCAAAGTTAGAGCCTGGAAGCCTTCAGTTAATGCGCTGAAGTTGTCTGAGGGCCATCAAAGTTGTTGCTTATATTGGATGAGATCGTTTATTGAGAGTAGAACAAGCACTCTGATGATCCTCTCTCCATTTGGGACTTTCTTTAAGGGGAGCAATTTCTCTGGCCCTGGATGGTGTGAAGTCCCACTGTGAGTAACTGCAGCTGGGCTGGTCTCTATTGTACCTGGCAAAGGCCGATAGAAAGGAGCATAAGGAGGAGGTGAAACAAGCTTAGATTCTACAGAAGACTCTGATAGTGTGGGGATGCTGTAGCCCATCTGTGGCTCTGAGCCACTGGCAAGCTAGGCCTGACTTGAGATGAGACCAATTATTTCAAGTGTAAAATGCCTAAATAGTCAGTAGCTTCAGGTTGCATTTTGGAGCTTGTCCACTTAAGTGGGTTGATGAAAATGGCTCACAAGGCTCACGCCTCAGAAATGGGGTTTTTCCTTTGCTCTTAGCAGATTTTATGCAACCCAATAATTAACCTTTCTGATGCCTAGACTTTCACATTCGTGAAAAAGGCGCCATTGAGAGTGACCTTTCCAGGAAGCCACAGCCTTTGTCACCCCTGCAGAGCTCTGAAGCTGCTCACAAGCAGGCCAGGTGGAAGATTTTTCTCAAAAACGGTTGAGTGTGTGCTCTGGCTAGAGAAAAAAGAGGGCTGCGGCACAACGGACAGTGTCTTGGACATCAGGAAAGTTCTCACGCAGTTTAGGAAAGAAGGCAGCACCCTGGGCTGCAGAAGACGTACTGCTCTGGAAAGAACCCTGGGTGCAACTGAAAGAGGAACCTGAGAAGGATAGGGCCAAGTGGGTGAGGACAACCCACCCGATTTGGGAAAAGGTAAGGTATCTTTGTAGGGTAATACCCTCCTCAATGCTCAGCCCAGACCTGCCCTCCAGGTGCACCTCTGTAGTCACTCTCCTTGCAAAGAGTCGGCATAGCATCAGAACTCAGCAGTGCTTTGGACACCGGGAAGTCCACACCGCTCTGCCCCTCCCTCCAGGGCTATGGACCCCGGATCCCGGTACATGCTGGGATTATAGCTCTGAAGCTTACCGACAAACAGGCTGAGAGTAGTTAATGGACTACAGCTCCCAGCATATTAGGTGGGGCGGGAACCACTCTGCCCCTTCTTCCAGGGCTGTGCCTTGCCCTGGAGCCTGGTGCATGCTGGGATTGTAGTCCTGTAGCCCTTTGACCAAAGGGTTGGGAGTGTTTATGAGAATGCATCTTCCAACAATCCTAGGGAGGCGCGCACAGCCCTGCCTCTTCCTCCAGTGACGCGCACTTTCCCGGAGCCCAGTGCATGCTAGAATTGTAGTGCTGCAGCCCTGTGACCAAAGGGCTGGGAGTGTTTATGAGACTGCATCTCCCAGCAAGACCAGCGAGACGCGTGGAGCCTCGTCCCTTCCTCCAGTGATTAGCGCACTCTCCCTGAGCCTGGTGCATGCTGGGATTGCAGTGCTGCAGCCCTGTGACCAAAGAGCTTTGTTATAGTTATCTGTGAAGTGTTCAACAAACTACTTTACTTCATTATTACTGGACGCCAGAAGCTCAGTTGTGTTCACTTTTTGGATTTTATATAAGTGAGATTGTGTAATATGTATACTTTTACATCTACTTTCTTCTATGCAACATTATATTTATGATATTAATTCATGATATTGCAGATAGCTATAGTTTAATTAAAAATTATTTTTTACATTGTGGTAAAGTATACATAAAATTAACCATTTTAGCTATTTTAAGTGTGCAGCTCAGAAAAATTAACTACTTTCACATAGTTTTGCAACTGTCATTACCACTCATAGGGACCTTCTTTCAACTTGCAGAAACAAAACTCTATACCCATTAAATAAGCTCCTTGTTACTCCCCCTCTAGCTCCTAGGAACCACTCTTCTATTTGGGTATCTAGAATTTAACTACTCTAAGTATCTCATAAGTGGAATGATTCAGTATTTGTCCTTTTATGACTGGCTCATGTCACTTTGGACAATGTCCTTAACGTTCATGCATGACGTACCATGTGTCAGAATTTCCTTATTTTACGTAGCTGAATAACATTCCACTGTATGTATAAATCACATTTTATCTATTAATCATTGATGGTAATTCAAACAACATTTGAGTAATTCAAACACCTTTTTGGTGATGTGAGTAATGCTGCTATGAACCTAGGTGTATGTGTATTATTTTGTGTCTTTGCTTTCATATCTTTTGCTGCATACCCAGATGTGAAATTGCTGGATTGTATGGTGATTTTATGTGTAAATTTTTTAGTTACTGTGTTGTTATTTTATATCAGCTGCAGCATTTTACATTTCCACCAACAGTGTACAAGGATTCTAATTGCTCCACGTCCTCACCAACACTTCTGATTTTCTGTTTTTTTTTCTTTTGTTAGTAGTTATGCTGATGGATGTTAAGTGATATGTCATTTGGGGTTAGATTTGCATTTCACTAATGATGAGTTTTGTTGAGCGTCTTTTCATGTGCTTATAAGCCACTTTACATAATTTTTAGAGAAATGTCTGCTTAAGTTTTTGCCAATATTTTAAACAAGTAGTTTGTTTTATTGTTGCTGAATTGTTCTTTGTATATTCTGTATAGATTCCTATTCGTCTATTTTTCTTTTGTTTCTTGTGTTTTGGGTGTCCTGTTTAAAAAAGAAAACTGCCAAATCCAGTGTTATGACGTGTTTCCCCTATATTTTATTCTAAGAATTTTGTAGTTTTAGCTCTTACATTTAGGTATTTGATCCAGTTAGTTAATTTTTTCTTACAGTATAAGTGAAGGGCCCAGGTTCATTCTTTTACATGTGGGTATATAATTTCCCCAGCACCAATTGTTGTGAAGACAGTTCTTGGCTGGGCGCAATGGCTCACGCCTGTAATCCCAGCACTTTGGGAGGCCGAGGCGGGCGGATCATGAGGTCAGGAGATCAAGACCATCCTGGCTAGCAAGGTGTCCGCTGTGCTCCTGATCCAGCGAGGCACCCATTGCCACTCCCAATAGGGCTAAAGGCTCGCCATTGTTCCTGCATGGCTAAGTGCCTGGGTTCATCCTAATCAAGCTGAACACTAGTCACTGGGTTCCACGGTTCTCTTCCGTGACCCACAGCTTCTAATAGAGCTTTAACACTCACCGCATGGCTCAAGATTCCATTCCTTGGAATCCGTGAGGCCAAGAGCCCCAGGTCAGAGAACAGGAGGCTTGCCACCATCTTGGAAGTGGCCTGCCAAAATTATGGAAGTGGCCTGCCACCATCTTGGGAGCTCTGGGAGCAAGGACCGCCCCATGGTAACAGCACTTAACTATGCGTCCCCAAGGACCTACAGATCACAGGGCAATAGGGGCTGTGAGGGAGTTGTCTGGATTTCCCAAGGTGGAGGAGGCCAAAGAAGAGATGGATCCCAGGCTCCTGCACCAGCATCAGCGAGAGACAAAGGCCCCGCCAAACGCCAGAAGCCACGCCCTCCTCTCTTCTCAAACTGCGCACCTTATTGGGTGGTTCCCACACAAGCGCCACTGATTGAATAAAACGCCAGGACCCACCCACCCGCGCCTCACCCCAGCCCCTACCCCACTCACCCTGAGCGTTAGTGCATTTTTGTTTGTTTCTTTGTTTTTCAAGTTTTGGGATACATGTGCAGAACGTGCAGGTTTGTTACAGAGGTTTACATGTGCCATGGTGGTTTTCTGCACCTATCAACCTGCCATCTAGGTTTTAAGCCCCACATGCATTAGATATTTGTCCTAATGCTCTCCCTCTCCTTGACCCCAACCCCCTAACAGGCCCCAGCGTGTGATGTTTCCTTCCGGTGTACATGTGTTCACATTGTTCAACTCCCACATATGAGTGAGAACATATGGTGTTTGGTTTCCTGTTTCCTGTGTTAGTTTGCTGAGGAAAATGGTTTCCAGCTTCACTCACGTCCCTGCAAAGGACATGAACTCATTCTTTTTTATGGCTGCATAGTATTCCATGGTGTATATGTGCCACATTTTCTTTTTCCACTCTATCATTGATGGGCTTTTGGGTTGGTTCCAAGTCTTTGCTATTGTAAACAGTGCTGCAATAAACGTAAATGTGCATGTGTCTTTATAGTAGAATGATTTATATTCCTTTGGATATATACCCAGTAATGGGATTGCTGGGTCAAATGGTATTTCTGCTTGTAGATCCTTGAGAAATCACCACACTGTCTTCCACAATGGTTGAACTAATTTACACTCCCTTCAGCAGTGTAAAAACGTTTCTATTTCTCCACAGCCTCACCAGCATCTGTTGTTTCTTGACTTTTTAGTAATAGCCATTCCAACTGGCGTGAGATGGTATCTCATTGTGATTTTAATTTGCCTTTCTCTAATAACCAGTGATGATGAGATTTTTTTTTAAATATTTGTTGGCCACATAAATGTCTTCTTCTTCTCCTTCTTCTCCTTCTTCTTCTCCTTCTTCTCCTTCTTCTTCTCCTTCTTCTTCTTCTTTGAGACAAAGTCTTGCTCTGTCAACCTGGCTGGAATGCAGTGGCAGGATCTTGGCTCACTGCAACATCTGCTTCCCGGGTTCAAGTGATTCTCCTGCTTCAGTCTCCCAAGAAGCTGGGATTACAGGCACCTGCCAATATGCCTGGCTAATTTTTTGTGTTTTCAGTAGAGATGAGATTTCACCATTTTGGCCAGGCTGGTCTCAAATTCCTGACCTCATGATCCACCTGATTCCACTTTCCAAAGTGCTGGGATTACAGGTGTGAGCCACCACACTCAGTCAAATATCTTCTTTTGAGAAGGGTCTGTTCATATCTTCTGCCCACTTTTTGATGGGGTTTTTTTTTCTTGTGAATTCGTTTAAGTTCCTTGTAGATTCCGGATGTTAGACCTTTGTCAGATGGATAGATTGCAAAAATTTTCTCATTCTGTAGGTTGCTTTTCACTCTGATGATAGCTTCTTTTGCTATGCAGAAGCTCTTTAATTAGATCTCATTTGTCAATTTTGGCTTTTGTTGCAATTGCTTTTGGTATTTTAGTCATGAAGTCTTTGCTCATGCCTATGTCCTGAATGGTATTGCCTAGGTTTTCTTCTAGGGATTTTATGGTTTGGGGTTTTACATTTAAGACTTTAATCCATCTTGAGATAATGTTTAAGGTGTAAGGAAGGGGTGCAGTTTCTGTTTTCTGCTTATGGCTAGCCAGTTTTTTCAGCACCATTTGTTAAATAGAAAATCTTTCCCCATTGCTTGTTTTTGTCAGGTTTGTCGAAGATCAGATGGTTGTAGATGTGTGGTGTTATTTCTGAGGTCTTTGTTCTGTTCCATTGGTCTATATATCTGTTTTGGTACCAGTACCGTGGTGCTTTGGTTACTGTATCCTTGAAGTATAGTTTGAAGTCTGGTAGCATGATGCCTCCAGCTTTGTTGTTTTTGCTTAGGATTGTCTTGGGTGGACAGGCAAACAGGCTCGAATAGTTGGGGTCACATGCCCAGAGTATCACAGCTAATTAAGAAGTGAGCTGAGACTTGAAATGCGCATGCTCTTTCCCTTACCAGGATCTGTTGAGTCATGCATCTTAGCAGCTATTTAAGGGTAGGAAGTAGAACATTTGGACATCTTTTTAACAACTTATTAGGCATTTTCATAATGTAGGAAAGACCCTCATCCCATCCCTGAGCCCCTCTCTCACCATGCTGCACCTCACTGCTGACCACATCGTAGGGTGGCCATTATCAGGCGGGCCAGAATCAGGCCAGAATAAGGCGGGCAGCAGGGGCTGGGAATAAATAAGCAAGAATGATGTTGCCCATATTTGCTCATCTTAGAAAGGCTCCACAACCATTCTGTGTTAAGTGATTATTCCAGTGTAATTGTGCCCTGACTGTGCTGCATGTCAGTCTGACTTGACTTTTTGAAAATCACTGGATTACTCTCATTAATGGGGGTGTTTCTGTTTCTATTTGAAAATGGCCAAGTGTCCTCTGCAGGTGTCCTGATTTGGTTTGCTAGTTTAGACCCTGAAGGTAGCAGTGAGAAAATGTTTTGGCCACATCAGAATACCTATTCTCAGCTGGAGTAGATATAGAAATTTCTTAATAATATTTAACCGTTTTCTCAATAACCGTTACATTTAACGGTGATAACTGGAGGGCAGAGAGGGACACAGATGACACAATCTTCGAAGTTTAATTTGGTTATAAGGTTTTTTGTTCTTGTTTTGTTTTGCTTTGTTTTTGGATACTAGGTCTTGCTCTGGTGCCCAGGCTGGAGGGCAGTGGCACAATCATAACTCATAATTTGGTTGTAACTGTTCTTTAAAAAATATTTTTGGCTGAGTTTGGTAGCTCACACTTGTAATGTAAACAATTTGGGAGGCCAAAGTGGGATGATTGCTGGATCCTATGAGTTCAAGACGAGTTTGGGCAACATAAGTAGGCTCACCCTCTACAAAAAAAATTTTACAATTGGCTGGGTGTAGCATTGCATGCCTGTAGTGTAGTCCTCGCTATTTGAGAAGCTGATGTGAAAGGATCACTCGAGCCTAAGAGTTTGAGGCTGCACTGACCCATGATTCAGCCACTGCACTGACAGAAAGATGTGTGTGTGTGTGTGTGTGTGTGTGTGTGTGTGTATAAACAATATGGATGTGAAAATTTCAAGCCCGGGAGAAAAGTGAAAGCCCATGGTGGGGGATGTGGAGAAAGGTGAGTGCGGCTCCAGCAAATCAGTGAAACTTCGTTTTCCATCTTGAAGAATTGCCCATACACACTGAAACCATAGCCTAGAACATGCCAGTTATCACACTACACCTGCTGGGATACCATTATGTACCCTTTTTAAAAAAATAAAGTCTTTCACCTAAGAGAAGCAGAAGAGAAAAGGAGGGTTTCACATCTAAAGCCTTCATTTTCTTTATGAAACAACAGCCACTTGTCATTTGAGTTGTCCAAAGGTGACTGACAGCACTAGTACACTTAATGAATAAAGCAGGAAAAATGGGCCTCTCGGGAGAGGAGGAAGCACAATAGTAACTAAACCCAATCCTTTCTCAGCTTTACATGGTGCCCGTATCTCAAGAAGTCGTGTTAGCCATGTGAACCGTTTTCACTGGACAAGGCCAGAAGAAAGAACATTTAGTACAACACAACCATGAGGCTGCAAATCAAACTGGTAGTGGGAGCATGCACAAGGCTTCAGTGGCTGAGACACTGGTGGCTACCCTTGGGTGTCACTTAAAACTTCGAGGTGAAGGACATTTTTTTTCCAATTGGCTCAGGGAAACTAATAAACATTAGAATTGAAATTTGTTTTTCTTTTCAAAATTTCTAAGACATAGAGGACCCTCTAAACACTCCAAAAGACATTCAGATATACATGCAGCTGAGGACCTGCCTGCTCTGCAGAGGGATGGCTGAGCAGCAGCCACCAGCTGTAATAGCTTTAAACTTCTCCTCTCACAGGGACAGGCCACTCCCACACACACTGCTTACTTCATAGGCTGTGGCCCTCAGATGCACCTGGGGGACTGCTTTCCTCCCATCTCATTAGCTCTCCAAGACAGCCAATCTCACTCTAAAACCTACACTAGGATGGTGAGTTGTAGACTCTCCTCCATTCTCCCAGCGCAGTGTGACTTCCAGAGAGTGCTCCCCCATCCTCTTACCTCAACTGATGTGAAAAGGGCCAGTGCCTGGGCAGTTAGATGTTCAGTGACCTCACAGGTCCAGCATGTCTAGGGCCTGGCCCCACAGTCTGGCACCTCTCCCCTACCTGGCCTTCATGCCGGCCTTTTCTCTTCTGTCACCAATGTCAGGTGACATTCACCTGTGCCACACTCTCATGAGCGTGGTAAGTGATGGGTGGGTAAACCCCAGCTGAGTGCCTGTGACGCTACCCTCTTACCTTTCACTCAAGTGACATTATAAGCATAATTTTACATTTGATTTAATTTATGCATAATCTTTTCTATAACATTACTGACAACAGCCCTCACAACCAAAGGAGACTGGGTTACAGAACACATGGGCAAGGCTGCGGTAGCAGGTTTCACTTACTTTATTCCAATGTGAAATGAAGATGTGATGGTTTAAAACCAAGACAAAGTTGTTTATCAGCTGTGGGGTTGCTACACTTGCTAGCTCATGCTCACTTCCTTTGAAACAAGGAATCTGGAGAGACTATATTCATAAGTAGCTCTTTGCAAACCCCCAGGCAGAAGCCCCAGTCAGACACAGCTCCTTCAGGCTCTCAGGGCGGCAACTTCCTCCTCCATGTTGGGCTCTGCCAGCAGGCAAGGGAAGAGCTCCCTCAGGCTCCCAGGGCTGCAACCTCCTCCTCCATGTTGGGCTCTGACAGCAGGCAAGGGAAGCAGCACAGGCAGCGGGGGACAGGAAGCCACCCAGGGCCATAGGGATCCTCAAACGCCCCAGAGCTATTCTCTGTAGAAAGGGCTGTGTGGCAAGGACCAGGTATGGAGCTGGGTTCCACAGAGAGGTGACAACCACTTCTGTATCTCTAAATTTCCCCCAGGATCCATGATCCAGCCCTGCTTTCCCCCAGGCCCTTCACCCACCCTGCCCCCACTGTGTGTTAGGCAGCTCAGGTTAAAATGGGAGAAAAATATATTCAGATTGTAGCCTCCAAGTTTTCCCATCTGGGCTGCAGAGAGTAGGGAAGGAAGTCGGGGCCTGTGGCAGTGCCTTTTGCTGTGCCTGATGTCAGGAAGGCCAGGGCTGGGCACATGGATGTCTCTGGGACCACCACTGCTGACTTCCTCCCCCTCACCTGGAGCTACAACCAGCCCAGGCTATCACGATTAATAAAACCACTGCAGCTCTCATCCTGTCACAAAACTAATGTGCACCCAACCGCAGCCCTACACAGATCCCTGGCTTCCTATCCCAGAACACAGAAAATCCTCTTTTCTTTTTTACTTAAAACGTGCACTTTAAGCCAGATTGGGCCTGGGGATAGTGGCAGCAGAAGCAAGAGCCAGATGTATACACTCCAGATGTATACACTCAAGGGCATGGGCACATTCCACACTTGCTGAAGAATGAGAGTCCTGAGAGGCACCTGTTTCCCAGCTGCTAACTGATGTCCACACACCCCATTCATGTGTCTTCATTTAGGCCTCTGCAACATGTATTTGTTCAGCTAGTGCAAACACATCTTCTGGGGGGCATCATTGATTGCAGCACCAGCCCCACTTGTTTTGGGAGGGAGTCAGGAGGAATCTGGTCAGCTCCTAATCCCCCAGGACAAAGGTGCTGCCCCCTTTTAAGCACTCACATCCAGCAGCACCATCTCAGGATGGTTTTTCAAACACAAGTAGCATGAGGTAGCAAGCATGGTGTGACAGGCACAGGGCCATAGGCAGCCGGCTGCTGGAGAAGCAGCACAGGGCAGGCACATCTGTGGGTGGCACCCTGACAAGCCAAGGCAGCCACAGCCCCTACCCCCAACAGCCCCAGCCCAGAAGGCATTCAAATCTTCCCAGATAGTATTGGGGTTCCTGATGCCCATCACTCCCCTGCTCATTAGCACTGCCTTGTGTTGGTTACTCAGGGACTAAGGAGAGAGGGTGGGGGATGTAGATCCAGGGTGGGCACTGCCTCACATCCAGAGTCCACCTGACTGCAGACCAGCAAGCAAGCCCAAGCAGCTCAGCTCTAGACACTTAGCCTCACCACCTCTGGCTACACTTTCTATGTATACTTTATGCAAAGGTAGAAAAATAGGTCAGTATTAGCTGTTGTGACATAAAAGTCTATGCCCCATTAAGACCTTATTAAAATGCTGTTGCCTTCAGCCCTCTTTCTTCTAATAAAATTTATACAAATACACACATACAAGCTGAAACTACTATAAATGAAATATTAGGATTTTTTAAACCCATAAACAAACACTAAAACAGTCACTGTTTGAATGCAGAGAAAGTGGGAATCTAAAGCAGCTGACCCCAAAACAGCCTTAGCAAGCCCAAGGCCAGGCCAGGCAGTCTGAACACTACAAGGTCACGTGATGGTCACAGAGGATGACAGATCCCATGAGTATTCCCAGGCACTGTGTTAGCTTCTCACTCACAGAGTCTCAGAATGCCTCCTCACCAATACCCTGTGAGGGAAGGCCCCACCTCACTACAGCACAAGAGCTTCCTGAGCTCTTCCCAGAAAATGGTTATCAAAGGGTGGAGCTGGGGGAAGCCCAGACAGAACAAATGAGTCCCCAGGGTCTCCTTAACCTCCCTCAGCTCCTCCACATGGGGCCCTGAGGGAAAGTGAGATTCCTCCTAACCCCTTTGATAGGGTTCCATTACTGCAGGTCTGGACTTCCTCATTTTCTGGAACTACAGGAGGTGACAATGCAAACCCAGGCCCCTTATTTGCCATCCCTTAATGCCAGACCAGGCCCAGAGCCCTGTGCTGACACAGCCCAGGGGATGCTCGAGGCCCACCTCAGCACAGTCACCAATAGTGTAGTGAGATGAGCAAGGAGGTGCAAGTAGGCACAAATCCCTATGGACATGGCCTTAGGCATGTTACACAGGCTCAGGGTCTCCCTGATGAGCTCACAGCCCTCCTTCAGGGAGCCTGCAGAGCACACCCCCAAGGACCAGTGCTCAGATGAGCAGGCAGGCCCCAGATTCCCCACCCCAGGATGCTCTGTTCCACTTTGCAGGGCTGCTGCATTGGCCAGTCCCCACTGCTTTCTGGTGGGATATTTGAGTTGAAGTGAATGTTGAAGGGCATACAGCTGATGGAGCTGACTGCCTTGCAGATGTTGTAAATCACCTCCTGGCTCCATGGGTCAGCTGTGGAGACACAGCTTAATGGGAGGTAGCCCCACTCCACCATCAGTGGTGCTGGGCTGCCCTGATCTGCACCTTCCAGCTCCTTGCTGAGATGTCTGCATGTTTCTCTAAGGGACTGGGTCACGAGACACCCCTGGCAAGGCCCAGCTGGCAGAATAGGCTGGACACTCTCCCTCAGCCTCCCCAGCAGCCCGGCCTGTGCTGTCACCTGTGCTGATGATCTCACTTCTCTATCTTAATAACAGCATTGATAACTTTTAAGCCCTAGCAAGCTGAAACTGCAAGACAAATGATCTTCTGCCTTAGAAGGGCTATGGTTGGTCAGTGTGTGCCCAGGTGAGAGCCCTGTGGTTGTTAGTGGAAGTAGGGAGCTGGATGGGCCTGGCCCCATAGCCTAGTGAAAAGTAGGGACCTCTCCTTCCAGAGCATCAAAGTCTTAGAGGCTGGAAAAAGGTGCTTGGTTGGGCTGCCAAGAAGCAGAAGGCTAGAAGGCTTTGCAAGGAACCCCAACAGACTTCAAGGTGCCTGAGACGGCTGGGCTTATACCAGCTTTCTTTGCTTTCATCCTGTTAGCAAGAAAACCTGCTCACAGATGGCAGGTGGGCCTGAGGCTCCCAGTCACTCACCGGGGATTAGGTGCCTTGATTGTGGCTGTTTCTTGAAGCAGCTGCTCAGGCCGGTTATTGCAGAGCAGTTCCCTCATTATCCACAGGTCCTTGTTCCAGCCCTGGCTCTGCAAAGGTACTAGGGAGGGACTAGGCAAGGGCTCAGCCTGTGCCCCACAACCTGCTCTGAGATATCTCTTTTGTTACTTCCTCATGGACAGCCTCAAACTTCCAAATGAACAGACCAGCATGGAGCCTCCAGGAAAGTGCATAGAATTCTGTCTGGTACCCAGAGGGAAGGGGGTTCCCAGTGAGAGCAGGACCAGGCTTCATGCACCTCTTCAGGAATGTTCTCCTCATAGTCCAGCCTCAAGGTGTGCATCTTCTGTGTGCATGGAGTCCATGGCAGGCTCTGCCTGGGGAGCCGTCCAGCTGCACAACTGCAATGTGGTGGTGACCCTCTTGAATAGGTGGTTCTGGGCCCCAAGGCTGGCAGCAGAGAGGGAGATGTTCAGCCACCAAGCCCAGAGCCCTGTCACAGGCTTCTGTGAGGCCTCCATCTGCTCTTGGTTCTTGCCCTGAGAAGCTGCCCTGAAGTCAAACAGAAGCAGGTGGGCCTCTTCCAGGGCTGCTCTCTCCCCAACTCACAGCTCCCTAGAGGGACACTCAGGCAGTGGGGACAGATTCTTCAGCCAGAAGCACTGGAGTTTAGGCTGGCCAGTTCATTCCATACCCCCACATGACATGACACAAGGTAGAGGCTGTGGGATAAAGACATTGCCTTTTCTTCTGGCATGAGGAATGGCTTAGGAAGCAGGGGATGGTGGGGCTGGGGTTGAGTGACGGGCTGTGGGCCACAAGGAGTGGGTGGGCACTGAGCAAGTGTCCTGGTTGTCTGTCCATAGATCCAGAATGAGTGGCATCTCAGGAGCCTGTGAGGGGCTGGCAGAGACTTACTGGTTCCAGTAAAAGCCCCATGTGGATGCAGTAATGCTGCCTGCTGGTCCTTGGCTGTAATTACAAACAGGTACATGAGGTACCCATGCATCTTGAGGCTCTCAGGGAGTGGGTTCCAGCTGCTCATGGTAGGCACTTTTAGTCACTGAACATGCTTCAGGTATGTCCAAGCTTTATTAAGCCAGGCATCTTGCTGTGAGGCCCTCCACTTCACTAAGGACACTCTTCCTTGCTCCCCCTGGAAGTTGGACCTTCCAGTTCTGGTTCTGGAGACACGATGGCCCCTCCTGGAACCCTAGGAAAATGTGCTCTGGTGACACACAGTCGATGGGGCCCATTTCCAAGCCTTTCTTCCATTTCCCACTGTTTGAGGGACACGAGGCCGGTGACAAGCACAGAGCCACCCAAGGCCAGCTGTCTGCACCTAAATGTGAAGCTTGTCTGGATGTCTCAGGGCCAGAACACTCCAGGTGAGATGGCCTGGTCCTCACCACCTGGCGTCCATGCTCCTGGAAGGAAGGGCGGAGGGATGTTAGGAGGGAGGGAGGAACAGAGGGAGAGAGGCAGGGAGGAACGGAGGGAAAGACAGAGCCAGGCAGGGACTGGGGGAGGGTGGGAGGGAGCTGGGGACAGAGGGACGAAGGCAGAGAGGAAAAGCGGTCTTTGGCCTCCGGGAGGAACGGGACCCCCACCCTCCGGGAAAACCGTAAGTGTCCGGCGCGGGCTGAGGGCTCAGCCCACAGCCGCAGCATCGGCCGGCGGGGCACTCATTCGCCCCGATTCCGTGGCCCAGGGAATGGGCAGTTTCCTCTGAGACAAAAGACGGGGACTCGGGTTGCCGTCGGGTTTTCACCCGCATGCTTCACAAACCACACATCCCCAGGCTGAGCCCCGCAACGGAGCACAAGGCCAACAGCACCTACCACGGAGGAGCAACACTCGGGACGACGGAGGCGTGATTTTGGTTTCCGCGTGGCTTTGTCCTGTGCAAGGCGGCCTGTTGCTCATGTCTCTCCAGCCCCCGAAAGGCTAGCCATGCTGACTGTTTGCTCCCGGAGCTCTGCGAGCACCCGGAACATGCAGGGAAGGGTGGAAGACCGGCATGGTGCCTTCGCTCTCCTTGCCAGTTTCCAAACCGGCCACACTTCAGAATCCCCATGTACCGCACACGGGAATCCATCGTCAGGCCATCACGCCGGGGAGGCATCTTCTCTCCGGGGTCTTGCTCTGGTCTCCTACATGGAGATAAATGAGAGCCACACGCCTGCGTGTGTGACTGTCCCGGCAACGGCGACAGCCACAGGCACTGCCTCCTTCACGCAGAGAGGGCCTGGAACACTCCAGACTCCCACTTAGGTTAAGTTCCACAGTCCCCACCACCCTCCCAGGCCGGTTTCTCCCTGCTGAAGACGCATGGGAGCCCAGAGAGCGGCTTCCAGTTCCCATGGGATTCCTGGAGAGGTCTGGAGAGCCAGCCCCCGAAACGCGCCCCCGTCACCCTATCCCCCTCGTCCCCTTGCTCTTCGTCTCTCCGGCCCCATGACCACCATCACCACGCCCTCCCACACCACCCCACCACCCCCTGGCAGCAGGCTTCGACGCCCAGGGACCCTTCCGGGGTGGGGCGGGCAGTCCCAGAGCTCACCGCCATTCATGAAGGGGTGGTGCCTGCCTGCCTGCCGGCCTTTATAAGAGCCGCTGGCTCGCTTTCCGGGCAGGCCTACAGGCTGCACCTGCCGCAGTGCACAGGCCGCCTGAGGTGCACGGGAGCCCGCCGGCCTCTCTCTGCCCATGTCCGTCCGTGAAACTCCGGCTGGGGCTCCCCACGATGGCCCTCCTGAAACCTTCGGACAGCACCCTCCCAGCGGAAGCCTGGGGACGGGGATGGTGAAGGAGACTCGTTTGGACCCCTAGCCAAAGCGAGGCCCTGCGAGCCTGCTTTGAGTGGAACCCGTAACCGGGCATCGCCACCAGAGAACGGCTGTCCCAGGCCATCAGCATTCCGGAGCCCAGGGTCCAGATTTGGTTTCAGAATGAGAGGTCACGCCAACTGAGGCAGCACCTGCGGGAATCTAGGTCCTGGCCCGGGAGATGCAGCCTGCAAGAAGGCAGGTGAAAGCGGACCGCAGTCACCAGTTCCCAGACTGCCCTGCTCCTCCGAGCTTTTGAGAAGGATCGCTTTCCAGGCAATGCCGCCAGGGAAGAGCTGGCCAGAGAGACCGGCCTCCCAGAGTCCAGGATTCAGATCTGGTTTCAGAATCGAAGGGCCAGGCACGTGGTACAGGCTGGCAGGGCACTCCCGCAGGCAGGTGCCCGGTGCAACGAGGCCCGCAGCGGGTTCACCCTGCTCCCTCGTGGGTCGCCTTCGTCCACACCGGTGCGTGGGGAACGGGGCTTCCCACACCCCACGTGCCCTGCGAGCCAGGGAGCGAGGGCCGTCCCCGTGCTCCAGCCCAGCCAGGCCGCGCCGGCAGAGGGGATAGCCCAACCTGCCCCGGCATGCGGGGATTTTGCCTACGCCACCCAGGCTCCTCTGGAAGGGGCGCTCTCCCACCCTCAGGCTCCTCAGTGGACTCCGCACCCGGGCAAAAGCTGGGAGGACCGGGACACGCAGCGCCATGGCCTGACGGGCCCTTGCGCGGTGGGACAGCCTGGGCCCTCTCAAGCGAGGCCAGAGGGCCAAGGTGTGCTTTGGACACCCGTGTCCCAGGGGAGTCCGTGGTGGGGCTGGGGCCGGGGTCCCCAGGACTCTGGGGCGGCGTGGAAACCCCAAGATGGGGCAGCTCCACATCACCAGCCCACACCCCCGGAGACCTTCGCATGGCAGGGGCAGATGCAAGGCATCCCAGCGCCCTCCCAGGCGCTCCAGGAGCCAGGGCGCTCATCTGCACTCCCCTCCAGCCTGCAGCTGGATGAGCTCCTGGCGAGCCCGGAGTTTCTGCAGCAGGCGCAACCTTTCCTAGAAACAGAGTCCCCGGGGGAGCTGTAGGCCTTGGAAGAGGCCGCCTCACTGGAAGCACCCCTCAGCGAGGAAGAATACGGTGCTCTGCTGGAGGAACTTTAGGACGTGCGGTTGGGACGGGGTCGGGTTGCGGCAGGGCGGTAGCCTCTCTTTCGCAGGGAACACCTGGCTGGCTATGGAGGGGAGTTGCTTCCCCCGCCCCCTCCACCGGGCTGACCGGCCTGGGATTCCTGCCTTCTAGGTCTAGGCCCGGTAAGAGAATCCACACAGCGCAGAAATGTGATTCTTTCCTGGGCTTCCCGGGGATCCAAGAGCCGGCCCAGGTACCAGCAGGTGGGCCGCCTACTGCGCACGTGCGGGTTTGCGGGCAACCGCCTGGGCTGTGGGAGGAGCCCGGGCAGAGCTCTCATGCCTTTCCACCACACCACCGCCTCCTGACCACACCATCCCCACCTCCACAACCCAGCCCCGGAAAATGCATCCTCCCCTGGGCTGGGTGGAGACCCACATCCCGCGAAACACAAGGCCCGCGCAGCGTCCAGGCCTGACACCCCTCCAGCGGCTCACCTCCTCTGCGCCTCCGCGCCACAATCGCCGGCCCGCCCGTGCCCCTGCAGCACCCCAGCTGCCACCATGGATCGCCTGACGGTGGAATGCAGACTTCTAGCTCGCTTTGCCGGCCTCCTAGCTAGACCTGTACTCATTGCACACCCTGGCTGACATGCAAGGGAGCCCACTGGCCTCTCTGTGACCTTATCGGTCCATGAAATTCCGTCTGAGGCTCTCCCAACACCTTCCGTAGCTCTTTAGTCACAGCCTGGAGAATAGTTACATCTCCTGGATGATCAGTTCAGTAATATGTCACAATGCACCCTCCCTGCGGAGCCTAGAGAAGATTTGCATTATTTGGGTGATCAGTGCAGAGATATATCACAATGTCCCCTGTACAAAAAGCCTGGAAATGATTTACATCACCTCAGTGATCAGTGCATAGGTATGTCAGAAATCCCCAGTAGGCTGAACCTAGACAAGGGATACATCACTTAGGTGATCAGTGTAGAGATATGTGAAAATTCCCGTGTAGACAGAGCCTAGACAAGTGTTACATCACCTAGTGATAAGTGCAAGGATGAGTCGTAAAGCCTCCTGTAGGCAGAGTATAGACAAGTGTTTCCTCCCTGGGGTAATCAGTGCAGAGATATGTCACAAAGCCCCTGTAAGCAGAACCTTGACAAGGGTTACATCACCTGTTTGATCAGTGGAAATGTATATCACAAAGCCCCCTGTAGGCAAAGCCCAGACAATTGTTACATCACCTGGGAGAGCAGTGGAGAGATCTGTCAAAATGCACCTGTAGGCAGAGCTTAGAAAAGGGTTACATCACCTAGGTGATCAGTGCAGAGATATATCAAAACGCTCCTGTAGGCTGAACCTAGACAGGAGTTACATCACCTTGGTGATCAGTGCAGAGATATTTCACAATGCCCCCTGTAGGCAGAGAGCGGACAAGAGTGACATAACCTAGGTGATCTGTGCAGAGCTATGTCAAAACGGCCCTGTAGGCAGAGCCTAGATAAATGTTACATCACCTGGGTGATCAGTGCAGAGATATGCCACAATACCCCCTGTAGGTGGAGCCTAGACAGGAGTTACATCACCTGGGTGATCAGTGCAGAGATATGTCACAAAGCCCCTGTAGGGGGAGCCTAAACAAGAGTTAAGTCACCTGGGTGATGAGTGCAGAAATATGTCACAAAGCCCCTGTAGGCCGAGCCTAGACAAGTGTTACATCTCCTGGTG
>NT_187378.1:0-38115 GCF_000001405.40 Homo sapiens | reverse complement strand
CTGATCACCGAGGTGATGCAAATCTTTTCTGGGATGTGCTTACAGGGGGCATTGTGACACATCTCTGCCGTGATCACCCTGGTGATGTAACTCTTGTCTGGGCTCTGCCTACTGGAGACATTGTGACATATTTCCGCACTGATCACCAAGGTAATGTCACATTTGTCAAAGATATGGCTACAGCGACATTATGACCTGTCACTGCACTGATCACTCAGCTGATGTAACCCTTGTCTAGGCTCTGGCTACAGGGGTCTTGTGACAGGTCTCTGCACTGATCACCCAGGTGATGTAACATTTGTCTAGGCTCTGCCAAAACGGGGCATTGTGACATAACTCTGCACTGATCACCCATGTGATGGACTCTTGTCTTGGATCTGCCTATGGGGGCATAGTGGCATATCTCTGCACTGATCACTCATGTGATGTAACTCTTGTCTAAGCTGTGTCTAAAGGGGAATTGTGACAGATATCTTCCCTGATTACCCAGGTGATGTAACAATTTTCTGGGATTTGTCTACAGGGGTTTGTGACATACTTTGCAATGATCATCAGGAGATGTAACACTTGTCTAGGCTCGGCCTACAGGGGCTTTGTGACATATTTCTGCACTCATCACCCAGGTGACTTAACTCTTGTTTAGGCTCTCCCTACAGGGGCTTTGTGACATATCTCTGCACTGATCACCCAGGTGATGTAACATTTATCTAGGCTCTGCCTACAGGGCCGTTTTGACATAGCTCTGCACAGATCTCCTAGGTTATGTCACTCTTGTCCACTCTCTGTCTACAGGGGGCATTGTGAAATATCTCTACACTGATCACCCAGGTGATGTAACTGCTGTCTAGGTTCAGCCTACAGGAGCGTTTTGATATATCTCTGCACTGATCACCTAGGTGATGTAACCCTTTTCTAAGCTCTGCCTACAGGGGCATTTTGACAGATCTCTCCACTGCTCTCCCAGGTGATGTAACAATTGTCTGGGCTTTGCCTACAGGGGGCTTTGTGATATACATTTCCACTGATCAAACAGGTGATGTAACCCTTGTCAAGGTTCTGCTTACAGGGGCTTTGTGACATATCTCTGCACTGATTACCCCAGGGAGGAAACACTTGTCTATACTCTGCCTACAGGAAGCTTTACGACTTATCCTTGCACTTATCACTAGGTGATGTAACATTTGTCTAGGCTCTGTCTACACGGGAATTTTCACATATCTCTACACTGATCACCTAAGTGATGTATCCCCTGTCTAGGTTCAGCCTACTGGGGATTTCTGACATACCTATGCACTGATCACCGAGGTGATGTAAATCATTTCCAGGCTTTTTGTACAGGGGACATTGTGATATATCTCTGCAATGATCACCCAAATAATGCAAATCTTCTCTAGGCTCCGCCGGGAGGGTGCATTGTGACATATTTCTGAACTGATCATCCAGGAGATGTAACTATTCTCCAGGCTGTGACTAAAGAGCTACGGAAGGTGTTGGGAGAGCCTCAGACGGAATTTCACGGACCGACAAGGGCACAGAGAGGCCAGCGGGCTCCCTTGCATGTCAGCCAGGGTGTGCAATGAGTACAGGTCTAGCCAGGAGGCCGGCAAAGCGAGCTAGAAGTCTGTATTCCACCGTCAGGCGATCCATGGTGACAGCTGGGGTGTTGCAGGGGCACGGGCGAGCCGGCGATTGTGGCGCGGAGGCGCAGAGGAGGTGAGCCGCTGGAGGGGTGTCAGGCCTGGAAGCTGCGCGGGCCCGGTGTTTCGCGGGATGTGGGTCTCCACCCAGCCCAGGGGAGGATGCATTTTCCCGGGCTGGGTGGTGGAGGTGGGGATGGTGTGGTCAGGGGGCGGTGATGTGGTGGAAAGGCATGAGAGCTCTACCCGGGCTCCTCCCACAGCCCAGGCGGTTGCCCGCAAACCCGCGCGTGCGCAGTAGGCGGCCCACCTGCTGGTACCTGGGCCGGCTCTGGGATCCCCGGGAAGCCCAGGAAAGAATCGCATTTCTGCGCTGCGTGGATTCTCTCACCGGGCCTAGACCTAGAAGGCAGGAATCCCAGGCCGGTCAGCCCGGTGGAGGGGGCGGGGGGAAGAAACTCCCCTCCATAGGCAGCCAGGTGTTCCCTGCGAAAGAGAGGCTACCGCCCTGCAGCAACCCGACCCCGTCCCAACCACACGTCCTAAAGCTCCTCCAGCAGAGCCCCGTATTCTTCCTCGCTGAGGGGTGCTTCCAGTGAGGCGGCCTCTTCCAAGGCCTACAGCTCCCCCGGGGCCTCCGTTTCTAGGAAAGGTTGCGCCTGCTGCAGAAACTCCGGGCTCGCCAGGAGCTCATCCAGCTGCAGGCTGGAGGGCAGTGCAGATGAGCGCCCTGGCTCCTGGAGCGCCTGGGAGGGCGCCGGGATGCCTTGCATCTGCCCCTGTCATGCGAAGGCCTCCGGGGGCACGGGCTGGTGATGTGAAGCTGCCCCGTCTTGGGGTTTCCATGCCTCCCCAGAGTCCTGGGGACCCCGGCCCCAGCCCCACCACGGACTCCCCTGGGACACGGGTGTCCAAAGCACACCTTGGCCCTCTGGCCCCGCTTGAGAGGGCCCAGGCTGTCCCACCGCGCAAGGGCCCGTCAGGCCATGGCGCTGCGTGTCCCGGTCCTCCCAGCTTTTGCCCGGGTGCGGAGTCCACTGAGGAGTCTGAGGGTGGGAGAGCGCCCCTTCCGGAGGAGCCTGGGTGGCGTAGGCAAAATCCCCGCATGCCGGGGCAGGTTGGGCGATCCCCTCTGCCGGCGCGGCCTGGCTGGGCTGGAGCACGGGGACGGCCCTCGCTCCCTGGCTCATGAAAGCCCCCTGTGGGAGAGCCCCAGGCGCGCAGGGCAGGTGGGGTGTGGGAAGCCCCGTTCCCCACGCGCCGGTGTAGGCGAAGGCGACCCACGAGGGAGCAGGGTGAACCCACTGGGGGCCTCGTTGCACCGGGCACCTGCCTGCAGGAGCGCCCTGCCAGCCTGTACTAGGTGCCTGGCCCTTAGATTCTGAAACCAGATCTGAATCCTGGACTCCGGGAGGCCGGTCTCTCTGGCCAGCTCTTCCCTGGCGGCATTGCCTGGAAAGCGATCCTTCTCAAAGGCTCGGAGGAGCAGGGCAGTCTGGGATCTGGTGACGGCGATCCGCTTTCACCTGCCTTCTTTTGGGCCGCATCTCCCGCGCCAGGACCTAGATTCCCGCAGGTGCTGCCTCAGTTGGCGTGACCTCTCATTCTGAAACCAAATCTGGACCCTAGGCTCCGGAATGCTGATGGCCTGGGCCAGCCGTTCTCTGGTGGCGATGCCCGGTTACGGGTTCCGCTCAAAGCAGACTCGCAGGGCCTTGCTTTGGCTCAGGGTCCAAACGAGTCTCCTTCGCCATCCCCGTCCCCAGGCTTCCGCTGGGAGGGTGCTGTCCGAAGGTTTCAGGAGGGCCATCGTGGGGAGCCCCAGCCGGAGTTTCATGGACGGACATGGGCAGAGAGAGGCCGGCGGGCTCCCGTGCACCTCAGGCGGCCTGTGCACTGCGGCAGGTGCAGCCTGTAGGTCTGCCCGGAAAGCGAGCCAGCGGCTCTTATAAAGGCCGGCCGGCAGGCAGGCACCATCCCTTCATGAATGGCGGTGAGCCCTGGGACTGCCCGCCCCACCCCGGAAGGGTCCCTGGGCGTCGAGGCCTGCTGCCAGGGGGTGGTGTGGTGGTGTGGGAGGGCGTGGTGATGGTGGTGGTGGGGCCGGAGAGACGAAGAGCAAGGGGACGAGGGGGAAGGGGTGAGGGGGGCACGTTTTGGGGGCTGGCTCTCCAGGCCTCTCCAGGAATCCCATGGGAACTGGAAGCCGCTCTCTGGGCTCCCATGCGTCTTCAGCAGGGAGAAACCGGCCTGGGAGGTGGTGGGGAGTGAGGAACTTAACCTCAGTGGGAGTCTGGAGTGTTCCAGGCCCTCTCTGCGTGAAGGAGGCAGTGCCTGTGGCTGTCGCCGTTGCCGGGACAGTCTCACACACGCAGGCGTGTGGCTCTCATTTATCTCCATGTAGGAGACCAGAGCAAGACCCCAGAGAGAAGATGCCTCCCCGGCATGATGGCCTGATGATGGATTCCTGTGTGCGGTACATGGGGATTCTGAAGTGTGGCCGGTTTGGAAACTGGCAAGGAGAGCGAAGGCACCATGCCGGTCTTCCACCCTTCCCTGCATGTTCCGGGTGCGTGCAGAGCTCCGGGAGCAAACAGTCAGCATGGCCAGCCTTTCGGGGGCTGGAGAGACGTGAGCAACAGGCCGCCTTGCAGAGGACAAAGCCACGCGGAAACCAAAATCACGCCTCCGTCGTCCCGAGTGTTGCTCCTCCGTGGTCGGTGCTGTCGGCCTTGTGCTCCGTTGCGGGGCTCAGCCTGGGGATGTGCGGTGTGTGAAGCATGCGGGTGAAAACCCGACGGCAACCCGAGTCCCCTTCTTTTGTCTCTGAGGAAACTGCCCATTCCCTGGGCCATGGAATCGGGGCGAATGAGTGCCCCGCCGGCTGATGCGGCAGCTGTGGGCTGAGCCCTCAGGCCGCGCCGGACACTTACCGTTTTCCCGGAGGGCGGGGGTCCCGTTCCTCCCAAAGGCCAAAGACCGCTTTTCCTCTCTGCCTTCGTCCCTCTGTCCCCAGCTCCCTCCCACCCGCCCCCAGTCCCTGCCTGGCTCTGTCTTTCCCTCCGTTCCTCCCTGCCTCCCTCCCTCTGTCCCTCCCTCCCTCCTAACATCCCTCCGCCCTTCCTTCTGGGAGCATGGACGCCAGGTGGTGAGGACCAGGCCATTTCACCTGGAGTGTTCTGGCCCTGAGACATCCAGACAAACTTCACATTTAGGTGCAGACAGCTGGCCTTGGGTGGCTCTGTGCTTGTCACCGGCCTCGTGTCCCTCAAACAGTGGGAAATGGAAGAACGGCTTGGAAATGGGCCCCATCGACTGTGTGTCACCTGAGCACATTTTCCTAGGGGTCCAGGAGGGGCCACCGTGCCTCCAGAACCAGAACTGGAAGGTCCAACTTCCAGGGGGAGCAAGGAAGAGTGTCCTTAGTGAAGTGGAGGGCCTCACAGCAAGATGCCTGGCTTAATAAAGCTTGGACATACCTGAAGCAAGTTCAGTGACTAAAAGTGCCTACCATGAGCAGCTGGAACCCACTCCCTGAGAGCCACAAGATGCATGGGTACCTCATGTACCTGTTTGTAATTACAGCCAAGGACCAGCAGGCAGCATTACTGCATCCACATGGGGCTTTTACTGGAACCAGTAAGTCTCTGCCAGCCCCTCACAGGCTCCTGAGATGCCACTCATTCTGGATCTATGGACAGACAACCAGGACACTTGCTCAGTGCCCACCCACTCCTTGTGGCCCACAGCCCATCACTCAACCCCAGCCCCACCATCCCCTGCTTCCTAAGCCATTCATCATGCCAGAAGAAAAGGCAATGCCTTTGTCCCACAGCCTCTGCCTTGTGTCATGTCATGTGGGGGTATGGAATGAACTAGCCAGCCTAAACTCCAGTGCTTCTGGCTGAAGAATCTGTCCCCACTGCCTGAGTGCCCCTCTAGGGAACTGTGAGTTGGGGAGAGAGCAGCCCTGGAAGAGGCCCACCTGCTTCTGTTTGACTTCAGGGCAGCCTCTCAGGACAAGAACCCAGAGCAGATTGAGGCCTCACAGAAGCCTGTGACAGGGCTCTGGGCTTGGTGGCTGAACATCTCCCTCTCTGCTGCCAGCCTTGGGGCCCAGAACCACCTATTCAAGAGGGTCACCACCACATTGCAGTTGTGCAGCTGGACGGCTCCCCAGGCAGAGCCTGCCATGGACTCCATGCACATAGAAGATGCACACCTTGAGGCTGGACTATGAGGAGAACATTCCTGAAGAGGTGCATGAAGCCTGGTCCTGCCCTCACTGGGAACCCCCTTTCCTCTGGGTACCAGACAGAATTCTATGCATTTTCCTGGAGGCTCCATGCTGGTCTGTTCATTTGGAAGTTTGAGGCTGTCCATGAGGAAGTAACAAAAGAGATATCTCAGAGCAGGTTGTGGGGCACAGGCTGAGCCCTTGCCTAGTCCCTCCCTAGTCCCTTTGCAGATCCAGGGCTGGAACACGGACCTGTGGATAATGAGGGAACTGCTCTGCAATAACCGGCCTGAGCAGCTGCTTCAAGAAACAGCCACAATCAAGGCACCTAATCCCTGGTGAGTGACTGGGAGCCTCAGGCCCACCTGCCATCTGTGAGCAGGTTTTCTTGCTAACAGGATGAAAGCAAAGAAAGCTGGTATAAGCCCAGCCGTCTCAGGCACCTTGAAGTCTGTTGGGGTTCCTTGCAAAGCCTTCTAGCCTTCTGCTTCTTGGCAGCCTAACCAAGCACCTTTTTCCAGCCTCTAAGACTTTGATGCTCTGGAAGGAGAGGGCCCTACTTTTCACTAGGCTATGGGGCCAGGCCCATCCATCTCCCTACTTCCACTAACAACCACAGGGCTCTCGCCTGGGCACACACTGCCCAACCATAGCCCTTCTAAGGCAGAAGATCATTTGTCTTGCAGTTTCAGCTTGCTAGGGCTTAAAAGTTATCAATGCTGTTATTAAGATAGAGAAGTGAGATCATCAGCACAGGTGACAGCACAGGCCGGGCTGCTGGAGAGGCTGAGGGAGAGTGTCCAGCCTATTCTGCCAGCTGGGCCTTGCCAGGGGTGTCTCGTGACCCAGTCCCTTAGAGAAACATGCAGAAATCTCAGCAAGGAGCTGGAAGGTGCAGATCAGGGCAGCCCAGCACCACTGATGGTGGAGTGGGGCTACCTCCCATCAAGCTGTGTCTCCACAGCTGACCCATGGAGCCAGGAGGTGATTTACAACATCTGCAAGGCAGTCAGCTCCATCAGCTCTATGCCCTTCAACATTCACTTCAACTCAAATATCCCACCAGAAAGCAGTGGGGACTGGCCAATGCAGCAGCCCTGCAAAGTGGAACAGAGCATCCTGGGGTGGGGAATCTGGGGCCTGCCTGCTCATCTGAGCACTGGTCCTTGGGGGTGTGTGCTCTGCAGGCTCCCTGAAGGAGGGCTGTGAGCTCATCAGGGAGACCCTGAGCCTGTGTAACATGCCTAAGGCCATGTCCATGGGGATTTGTGCCTACTTGCACCTCCTTGATCATCTCACTACGTACGCTATTGGTGACTGTGCTGAGGTGGGCCTCGAGCATCCGCTGGGCTGTGTCAGCACAGGGCTCTCGGCCTGGTCTGGCATTAAAGGATGGCAAATAAGGGGCCTGGGTTTGCATTGTCACCTCCTGTAGTTCCAGAAAATGAGGAAGTCCAGACCTGCAGTAATGGAACCCTATCAAAGGGGTTAGGAGGAAGCTCACTTTCCCTCAGGGCCCCATGTGCAGGAGCTGAGGGAGGTTAAGGAGACCCTGGGGACTCATTTGTTCTGTCTGGGCTTCCCCCAGCTCCACCCTTTGATAACCATTTTCTGGGAAGAGCTCAGGAAGCTCTTGTGCTGTAGTGAGGTGGGGCCTTCCCTCACAGGGTTGGTGAGGAGGCATTCTGAGACTCTGTGAGTGAGAAGCTAACACAGTGCCTGGGAATACTCATGGGAGCTGTCATCCTCTGTGACCATCACGTGACCTTGTAGTGTTCAGACTGCCTAGCCTTGGGCTTGCTAAGGCTGTTTTGGGGTCAGCTGCTTTAGATTCCCACTTTCTCTGCATTCAAACAGTGACTGATTTAGTGTTTGTTTATGGGTTTAAAAAATCCTAATATTTCATTTATAGTAGTTTCAGCTTGTATGTGTGTATTTGTATAAATTTTATTAGAAGAAAGAGGGCTTAAGGCAACAGCATTTTAAGAAGGTCTTAATGGGGCATAGACTTTTATGTCACAACAGCTAATACTGACATCTTTTTCTACCTTTGCATAAAGTATACATAGAAAGTGTAGCCAGAGGTGGTGAGGCTAAGTGTCTAGAGCTGAGCTGCTTGGGCTTGCTTGCTGGCCTGCAGTCAGGTGGACTCTGGCTGTGAGGCAGTGCCCACCCTGGATCTACATCCCCCACCCCCTCTCCTTAGTCCCTGAGTAACCAACACAAGGCAGTGCTAATGAGCAGGGGAGTGATGGGCATCAGGAACCCCAATACTATCTGGGAAGATTTGAATGCCATCTGGGCTGGGGCTGTTGGGGGTAGGGGCTGTGGCTGCCTTGGCTTGTCAGGGTGCCACCCACAGATGTGCCTGCCCTGTGCTGCTTCTCCAGCAGCCAGCTGCCTATGGCCCTGAGCCTGTCACACCATGCTTGCTACCTCATGCTACTTGTGTTTGAAAAACCATCCTGAGATGGTGCTGCTGGATGTGAGTGCTTAAAAGGGGGCAGCACCTTTGTCCTGGGGGATTAGGAGCTGACCAGATTCCTCCTGACTCCCTCCCAAAACAAGTGGGGCTGGTGCTGCAATCAATGATGCCCCCCAGAAGACATGTTTGCACTGGCTGAACAAATACATGATGCAGAAGCCTAAATGAAGACACATGAATGGGGTGTGTGGACATCAGTTAACAGCTGGGAAACAGGTGCTTCTCAGGACTCTCATTCTTCAGCAAGTGTGGAATGTGCCCATGCCCTTGAGTGTATACATCTGGAATGTATACATCTGGCTGTTGCTTTTGCTGCCACTATCCACAGGCCCAATCTGGCTTAAAGTGCAGGTTTTAAGTAAAAAAGATAAGAGGATTTTCTGTGTTCTGGGATAGGAAGCCAGGGATCTGTGTAGGGCTGCGGTTGGGTGCACGTTAGTTTTGTGACAGGATGAGAGCTGCAGTGGTTTTATTAATCGTGATAGCCTGGGCTGGTTGTAGCTCCAGGTGAGGGGGAGGGAGTCAGCAGTGGTGGTCTCAGAGACATCCATGTGCCCAGCCCTGGCCTTCCTGCCCTCAGGCACAGCAAAAGGCACCGCCACAGGCCCCGACTTCCTTCCCTACTCTCTGCAGCCCAGATGGGAAAACTTGGAGGTTACAATCTGAATATATTTTTCTCCCATTTTAACCTGAGCTGCCTAACACACAGTGGGGGCAGGGTGGGTGAAGGGCCTGGGGGAAAGCAGGGCTGGATCATGGATCCTGGGAGAAATTTAGAGATACAGAAGTGGTTGTCACCTCTCTGTGGAAACCAGCTCCGTACCTGGTCCTTGCCACACAGCCCTTTCTACAGAGAATAGCTCTGGGGCATTTGAGGATCCCTATGGCCCTGGGTGGGTTCCTGTCCCCCGCTGCCTGTGCTGCTTCCCTTGCCTGCTGTCAGAGCCCAACATGGAGGAGGAGGTTGCCACCCTGAGAGCCTGAGGGAGCTGTGTCTGACTGGGGCTTCTGCCTGGGGGTTTGCAAAGAGCTACTTATGAATATAGTCTCTCCAGATTCCTTGTTTCAAAGGAAGTGAGCATGAGCTAGCAAGTGTAGCAACCCCACAGCTGATAAACAACTTTGTCTTGGTTTTAAACCATCACATCTTCATTTCACATTGGAATAAAGTAAGTGAAACCTGCTACCCCAGCCTTGCCCATGTGTTCTGTAACCCAGTCTCCTTTGGTTGTGAGGGCTGTTGTCAGAAATGTTATAAGAAAAGATTATGCATAAATTAAATCAAATGTAAAATTATGCTTATAATGTCACTTGAGTGAAAGGTAAGAGGGTAGAGTCACAGGCACTCAGCTGGGGTTTGCCCACCCATCACTTACCATGCTCATGAGAGTGTGGCACGGGTGAATGTCACCTGACATTGGTGACAGAAGAGAAAAGGCCGGCATGAAGGCCAGGTAGGGGAGAGGTGCCAGGCTGTGGGTCCAGGCCCTGGGCATGCTGGACTTGTGAGGTCACTGAACATCTAACTGCCCAGGCACTGGCCCTTTTTACATCAGTTGAGGTAAGAGGATGGGGGAGCACTCTCTGGAAGTCACGCTGCACTGGGAGAATGCAGGAGAGTCTACAACTCACCATCCTAGTGTAGGTTTTAGAGTGAGATGGACTGTCTTTGAGAGCTAATGAGATGGGAGGAAAGCAGTCCCCCAGGTGCATCTGAGGGCCACAGTCTATGAAGTAAGCAGTGTGTGTGGGAGTGGGCTGTCCCTGTGAGAGGAGAAATTTAAAGCTATTACAGCTGGTGGCTGCTGCTCAGCCATCCCTCTGCAGAGCAGGCAGGTCCTCAGCTGCATGTATATCTGAATGTCTTTTCGAGTGTTTAGAGGGTCCTCTATGTCTTAGAAATTTTGAAAAGAAAAACAAATTTCAATTCTAATGTTTATTAGTTTCCCTGAGCCAATTGGAAAAAAATGTCCTTCACCTCGAAGTTTTAAGTGACACCCAAGGGTAGCCTCCAGTATCTCAGCCACTGAAGCCTTGTGCATGCTCCCACTACCAGTTTGATTTGCAGCCTCATAGTTGTGTTGTACTAAATATTCTTTCCTCTGGCCTTGTCCAGTGAAAACGGTTCATATGGCTAACACCTCTTCTTGAGATACGGGTACCATGTAAAGCTGAGAATGGATTGGGTTTAGTTACTATTGTGCCTCCTCCTCACCCGAGAGGCCCATTTTTCCTGCTTGATTCATTAAGTGTATTAGTGCTGTCAGTCGCCTTTGGACAACTCAAATGACAAGTGACTGTTGTTTCATAAAGAAAATGAAGGCTTTAGATGTGAAACCCTCCTTTTCTCTTCTGCTTCTCTTAGGTGAAAGATTTTATTTTTTTAAAAAGGGTACATAGTGGTATCCCAGCAGGTGTAGTGTGATAACTGGCATGTTCTAGGCTATGGTTTCAGTGTGTATGGGCAATTCTTCAAGATGGAAAACCAAGTTTCACTGAGTTGCTGGAGCCACACTCACCTTTCTCCACATCCCCCACCATGGGCTTTCACTTTTCTCCCGGGCTTGAAATTTTCACATCCATATTATTTATACACACACACACACACACACACACACACACACACACATCTGCCTGTCAGTGCAGTGGCTGAACCATGGGTCAGTGCAGCCTCAAACTCTTAGGCTCGAGTGATCCTTTCACATCAGCTTCTCAAACAGCGAGGACTACACTACAGGCATGCAATGCTACACCCAGCCAATTTTAAATATTTTTTTGTAGAGGCTGAGCCTACTTATGTTGCCCAAACTGGTCTTGAACTCATAGGATCCAGCGATCATCCCACTTTGGCCTCCAAAATTGTTTACATTACAAGTGTGAGCTACCAAACTCATCCAAAAATATTTTTTAAAGAACAGTTACAACCAAATTATGAGTTATGATTGTGCCACTGCTCTCCAGCCTGGGCACCAGAGCAAGACCTTGTATCCAAAAACAAAGCAAAACAAAACAAGAACAAAAAACCTTATAACCAAATTAAACTTCGAAGATTGTGTCATCTGTGTCCCTCCCTGCCCTCCAGTTATCACCGTTAAATATAATGGTTATTGAGAAAACGGTTAAATATTATTAAGAAATTTCTATATCTACTCCAGCTGAGAATAGGTATTCTGATGTGGTCAAAACATTTTCTCACTGCTACCTTCAGGGTCTAAACTAGCAAACCAAATCAGGACACCTCCAGAGGACACTTGGCCATTTTCAAATAGAAACAGAAATACCCGCATTAATGAGAGTAATCCAGTGATTTTCAAAAAGACATGTCAGACTGACATGCAGCACAGTCAGGGCACAATTACCCTGGAATAATCACTTCACACAGAATGGTTGTGAAGCCTTTCTAAGATGAGCAAATATGGGCAACATCATTCTTGCTTATTTATTCCCAGCCCCTGCTGCCCGCCTTATTCTGGCCTGATTCTGGCCCGCCTGATAATGGCCACCCCATGATGTGGTCAGCAGTGAGGTGCAGCGTGGTGAGTGAGGGGCTCAGGGGTGGGATGAGGGTCTTTCCTGCATTATGAAAATGCCTAAAATGTTGTTAAAAAGATGTCCAAATGTTCTACTTCCTACCCTTAAATAGCTGCTAAGATGCATGACTCAACAGATCCTGGCAAGGGAAAGAGCATGCGCATTTCAAGTCTCAGCTCACTTCTTAATTATCTGTGATACTCTGGGCATGTGAACCCAACTATTCGAGCCTGTTTGCCTGTCCACCCAAGACAATCCTAAGCAAAAACAACAAAGCTGGAGGCATCATGCTACCAGACTTCAAAATATACTTCAAGGCTACAGTAACCAAAACACCACGGTACTGGTACCAAAACAGATATATAGACCAATGGAACAGAACGAAGACCTCAGAAATAACACCACACATCTACAACCATCTGATCTTCGACAAACCTGACAAAAACAAGCAATGGGGAAAGATTTTCTATTTAACAAATGGTGCTGAAAAAACTGGCTAGCCATATGCAGAAAACAGAAACTGCACCCCTTCCTTACACCTTAAACATTATCTCAAGATGGATTAAAGTCTTAAATGTAAAACCCTAAACCATAAAAACCCTAGAAGAAAACCTAGGCAACACCATTCAGGACATAGGCATGAGCAAAGAATTCATGACTAAAATACCAAAAGCAATTGCAACAAAAGCCAAAATTGATAAATGAGATCTAATTAAAGAGCTTCTGCACAGCAAAAGAAGCTATCATCAGAGTGAAAGGCAACCTACAGAATGAGAAAATTTTTGTAATATCTATCCATCTGACAAAGGTCTAACATCCGGAATCTACAAGGAACTTAAACGAATTCACAAGAAAAAAAAACACCATCAAAAAGTGGGCAGAGGATATGAACAGACCCTTCTCAAAAGAAGATATTTGACTGAGTGTGGTGGCTCACACCTGTAATCCCAGCACTTTGGAACGTGGAGGCAGGTGGATCATGAGGTCAGGAGTTTTGAGACCAGCCTGGCCAACATGGTGAAATCTCGTCTCTACTGAAAACACAAAAAATTAGCCAGGCATATTGGCAGGTGCCTGTAATCCCAGCTTCTCGGGAGGCTGAATCAGGAGAATCACTTGAACCCGGGAAGCAGATGTTGCAGTGAGCCAAGATCCTGCCACTGCATTCCAGCCTGGGTGACAGAGCAAGACTTTGTCTCAAAGAAGAAGAAGAAGGAGAAGAAGAAGGAGAAGAAGAAGGAGAAGAAGGAGAAGAAGGAGAAGAAGAAGACATTTATGTGGCCAACAAATATTAAAAAAAATCTCATCATCACTGGTTATTAGAGAAAGGCAAATCAAAACCACAATGAGATACCATCTCACGCCAGTTGGAATGGCAATTATTAAAAAGTCAGGAAACAACAGATGTTGGTGAGGCTGCGGAGAAATAGAAACGTTTTTACACTGCTGGAGGGAGTGTAAATTAGTTCAACCATTGTGGAAGACAGTGTGGTGATTCCTCAAGGATCTACAAGCAGAAATGCCATTTGACCCAGCAATCCCATTACTGGGTATATATCCAAAGGAATATAAATCATTCTACTATAAAGAAGCATGCACATTTACGTTTATTGCAGCACTGTTTACAATAACAAAGACTTGGAACCAACCCAAATGTCCATCAATGATAGAATGGAAAAAGAAAATGTGGCACATATACACCATGGAATACTATGCAGCCATAAAAAAGAATGAGTTCATGTCCTTTGCAGGGACGTGAGTGAAGCTGGAAACCATTGTCCTCAGCAAACTAACACAGGAAACAGGAAACCAAACACCATATGTTCTCACTCATATGTGGGAGTTGAACAATCAGAACACATGTACACCGGAAGGAAACACCACACACTGGGGCCTGTTAGGGGGTTGGGGTCAAGGGGAGGGAGAGCATTAGGACAAATATCTAATGCTTGTGGGGCTTAAAACCTAGATGGCAGGTTGATAGGTGCAGAAAACCACCATGGCACATGTAAACCTCTGTAACAAACCTGCACGTTCTGCACATGTATCCCAAAACTTAAAGAAAAACAAAGAAACAAACAAAAATGCACTAACGCTCAGGGTGAGTGGGGTAGGGGCTGGGGTGAGGCGCGGGTGGGTGGGTCCGGGCGTTTTATTCAATCAGTGGCGCTTGTGAGGGAACCACCCAATCCGGCGCGCAGTTTGAGAAGAGAGGAGGGCGTGGCTTCCTGCGTTTGGCGGGGCCTTTGTCTCTCGCTGGTGCTGGTGCAGGAGCTTGGGATCCATCTCCTCTTTTGCCTCCTCCACCTTGGGAAATCTAGACAACTCCCTCACAGCCCCTATTGCCCTGTGATCTGTAGGTCCTTGGGGATGCATAGTTAAGGTGCTGTTACCATGGGGCGGTCCTTGCTCCCAAAGCTCCCAAGATGGTGGCGAGCCACTTCCATAATTTTGGCAGGCCACTTCCAAGATGGTGGCAAGCCTCCTGTTCTCTGACCTGGGGCTCTTGGCCTCACAGATTCCAAGGAATGGAATCTTGAGCCATGCGGTGAGTGTTACAGCTCTATTAGAAGCTGTGGGTCACGGAAGAGAACCGTGGCACCCAGTGACTAGTGTTCAGCTTGATTAGGATGAACCCAGGCACTTAGCCATGCAGGAACAATGGCGAGCCTTTAGCCCTATTGGGAGTGGCAATGGTTTCCTCGCTGGATCAGGAGCACAGCGGACACCTTGCTAGCCAGGATGGTCTTGATCTCCTGACCTCGTGATCCGCCCGCCTCGGCCTCCCAAAGTGCTGGGATTACAGGCGTGAGCCATCGCGCCCAGCCAAGTACTGTCTTCACAACTACTGGTGCTGGGGATATTATGTACCCACATGTAAAAGAATGAACCTGGGCCCTTCACTTATACTGTAAGAAAAAATTAACTAACTGGATCAAATACCTAAATGTAAGAGCTAAAACTACAAAATTCTTAGAATAAAATATAGGGGAAACACGTCATAACACTGCATTTGGCAGATTTTTTTAAACAGGACACCCAAAACACAAGAAACAAAAGAAAAATAGACGAATAGGAATCTATCCAGAATATACAAAGAACAATTCAGGAACAATACAACAAACTACTTGTTTAAAATATTGGCAAAAACTTAAGCAGTCATTTCGCTAAAAATTATGTAAAGTGGCTAATGAGCACATGAAAAGACGCTCAACAAAACTCATCATTAGTGAAATGCAAATCTAACCCCAAATGACATATCACTTAATACCCATCAGCATAGCTACTACCAAAAGAAAAAAAAAAACAAAACAGAAAATCAGAAGAGTTGGTGAGGACGTGGAGCAATTAGAATCCTTGTACACTGTTGGTGGAAATGTAAAATGCTACAGCTGCTATAAAATAACAACACAGTAACTAAAAAATTTACACATAAAATCACCATACGATCCAGCAATTTCACATCTGGGTATGCAGCAAAAGATATGAAAGCAAAGACACAAAATAATACACATACACCTAGGTTCATAGCAGCATTACTCACATCACCAAAAAGGTGTTTGAATTACTCAAGTGTTGTTTGAATTACCATCAATGATTAATAGATAAAATGTGATTTATACATACAGTGGAATGTTATTCAGCTACATAAAATAAGGAAATTCTGACACATGGTACGTCATGCATGAACCTTAAGGACATTGTCCAAAGTGACATGAGCCAGTCATAAAAGGACAAATACTGAATCATTCCACTTATGAGATACTTAGAGTAGTTAAATTCTAGAAACCCAAACAGAAGAGTGGTTCCTAGGAGCTAGAGGGGGAGTAAAAAGGAGCTTATTTAATGGGTATAGAGTTTTGTTTCTGCAAGTTGAAAGAAGGTCCCTATGAGTTGTAATGACAGTTGCAAAACAATGTGAAAGTAGTTAATTTTTCTGAGCTGCACACTTAAAATAGCTAAAATGGTTAATTTTATGTATACTTTACCACAATGTAAAAAATAATTTTTAATTAAACTATAGCTATCTGCAATATCATGAATTAATATCATAAATATAACGTTGCATAGAAGAAAGTAGATATAAAAGTATACATATTACACAATCTCACTTATATAAAATCCAAAAAGTGAACACAACTGAGCTTCTGGCTTCCAGTAATAATGAAGTAAAGTAGTTTGTTGAACACTTCACAGATAACTATAACAAAGCTGTTTGGTCACAGGGCTGCAGCACTGCAATCCCAGCATGCACCAGGCTCAGGGAGAGTGCGCTAATCACTGGAGTAAGGGACGAGGCTCCGCGCGTCTCGCTGGTCTTGCTGGGAAATGCAGTCTCATAAACACTCCCAGCCCTTTGGTCACAGGGCTACAGCACTACAATCCTAGCATGCACCGGGCTCTGGGAAAGTGCGCGTCACTGGAGGAAGAGGCAGGGCTGTGCGCGCCTCCCTAGGATTGTTGGAAGATGCATTCTCATAAACACTCCCAACCCTTTGGTCAAAGGGCTACAGGACTACAATCCCAGCATGCACCAGGTTCCAGGGCAAGGCGCAGCCCTGGAAGAAGGGGCAGAGTGGTACCCGCCCCACCTAATATGCTGGGAGCTGTAGTCCGTTAACTACTCTCAGCCTGTTTGTCGGCAAGCTTCAGAGCTATAATCCCAGCATGTACCGGGATCCGGGGTCCATAGCCCTGGAGGGAGGGGCAGAGCGGTGTGGACGTCCCGGTGTCCAAAGCACTGCTGAGTTCTGATGCTATGCTGACACTTTGCAAGGAGAGTGAGTACAGAGGTGCCCCTGGAGGGCAGGTCTGGGGTGAGCGTTGAGGAGGGTATTACCCTACAAAGATACCTTACCTTTTCCCAAATCGGGTGGGTTTTCCTAACCCGCTTGGCCCTATCCTTCTCAGGTTCCTCTTTCAGTTGCACCCAGGGTTCTTTCCAGAGCAGTACGTCTTCTGCAGCCCAGGGTTCTGCCTTCTTTCCTAAACTGCGTGAGAACTTTCCTGATGTCCAAGACACTGTCCGTTGTGCCGCAGCCCTCTTTTTTCTCTAGCCAGAGCACACACTCAACCGTTTTTGAGAGAAACCTTCCACCTGGCCTGCTTGTGAGCAGCTTCAGAGCTCTGCAGGGGTGACAAGGGCTGTGGCTTCCTGGAAAGGTCACTCTCAATGGCGCCTTTTTCACGAATGTGAAAGTCTAGGCATCAGAAAGGTTAATTATTGGGTGCATAAAATCTCCTAAGAGCAAAGGAAAAAACCCCATTTCTGAGGCGTGAGTCTTGTGAGCCATTTTCATCAGCCCACTTAAGTGGACAAGCTCCAAAATGCAACCTGAAGCTACTGACTATTTAGGCATTTTACACTTGAAATCATTGGTCTCATCTCAAGTCAGGCCTGGCTTGCCAGTGGCTCAGAGCCACAAATGGGACCTGATACCTCAGGAACAGATAGTGTTCCAGCTTTACCAGAGGAACTTTTTTTTTTTTTTTAATTGACAAGTTTCTTTTTTTTTTATATTTATTTTTTTTTTATTATACTCTAAGTTTTAGGGTACATGTGCACATTGTGCAGGTTAGTTACATATGTATACATGTGCCATGCTGGTGCGCTGCACCCACTAATGTGTCATCTAGCATTAGGTATATCTCCCAATGCTATCCCTCCCCCCTCCCCCGACCCCACCACAGTCCCCAGAGTGTGATATTCCCGTTCCTGTGTCCATGTGATCTCATTGTTCAATTCCCACCTATGAGTGAGAATATGCGGTGTTTGGTTTTTTGTTCTTGCGATAGTTTACTGAGAATGATGGTTTCCAATTTCATCCATGTCCCTACAAAGGATATGAACTCATCATTTTTTATGGCTGCATAGTATTCCATGGTGTATATGTGCCACATTTTCTTAATCCAGTCTATCATTGTTGGACATTTGGGTTGGTTCCAAGTCTTTGCTATTGTGAATAGCGCCGCAATAAACATACGTGTGCATGTGTCTTTATAGCAGCATGATTTATACTCATTTGGGTATATACCCAGTAATGGGATGGCTGGGTCAAATGGTATTTCTAGTTCTAGATCCCTGAGGAATCGCCACACTGACTTCCACAATGGTTGAACTAGTTTACAGTCCCACCAACAGTGTAAAAGTGTTCCTATTTCTCCGCATCCTCTCCAGCACCTGTTGTTTCCTGACTTTTTAATGATTGCCATTCTAACTGGTGTGAGATGATGTCTCATAGTGGTTTTGATTTGCATTTCTCTGAACGTTTAAGACGTGGAGCACTTGGGGTCATTTGAAACCCGCTATCTTCAGTAGGGACTTTTACTTCTACAGAGCATGTGCATTTTGATTTTATCTGTCCTCAAGCTGACCCTTTGTTCATTTTAATAGTAAAAAACACATTCCTGGGTGGAGATTTAAGATGCTAGTGAGTCATGCAATGTATGCACAAATATGTACAGCTACTGCACATGTGTACCCAGAAGACCAGTCAGAACACGCTTACTATAACACTTCTTTCCACCTTCTTATGAAATAATCATGCAAAACTCCCATAAAGAGGTTTTCTCCAGCAATAATTAATGCTGTCTCACTTTTACGAGCAGGCTGCCCTGGAATCTCTTTCTCAAACTGTACCGTCTATTCTGCACTTAATTTTCAAAATATTCTTTTTTTTTGCAATAAATTATGCTGTACTTCTTTTGCTGTGTGTCTCTTGTTTAAATTCTTTTAAACTATGAAGATAAGAACCAAGGTATTACATCAGCCATCAACATTTCTGGTGCCATGACCTGGGGAGACGTCTGTCTGCTTCATTAATTTCAGTTTCCCTTTACTTGCAGTGAATACTATGGCAGTTTCAGACTACCTGGTTAACTATCGCTGCTTGTTCCAGCGCTGTTTCAGTAAAGTTCTGGGGGAAACGTTTTTAAGTCACCTGCATTCTTTAGAGAGAGAATATATGTCCGCTCTCCTTTTCGCTGCGGCTTCTGTAGTATCGATAAATACACTAACCACATGGGTTGCCCTCAACATTTCATATTTGGGCTATTTGCCGCTCAGTTTCACATCTTTCTGGCCACAGTTTAGACTCAGCTTATCGTTTGCTGTCCTTTCAGCAATACTCGATCGCCACCTAGTGGCTATTGTAATTTATTTTCTGGTCAGGTTTTCTGTTTACAAAATTTTTGTTTTGCTTTGAGCATCACATTAAGAGAACCCTGTCCCTTCAGGCTTTATGCATTTCCCAGCTCCTTGAAATTGTTCTTCAACCGGCTTTCTTTGCTGAACAAAAGATGCACAGTCATGTAGATGCCCAGTCGTAGGGATTGCATCTGAGCATTCCAGGTGTTGTAATTAGGCATCAAGAATGGCAAACCAGTGAATTAGGGCAAGACTTGTCAGCCAGACATCTGCCCCCCAGCCCGCAGTGGGGGTCATCTCCGTAGGGCTGGAGCTGTCCACCGCTGGGGGGAGCTAGGACGGTGTATGGCAAATGCCTATGACCTCCTAGAGCTTCAGTTAATGGGGTTTCGAGGGGATGCGCTGAACCCCTTGGTGTTTTCAGTTGCCTCATGAGGACGCCCACAGCCTCCTGGACTTCAGTAAATGTTGTGTCATTGCAGGATTCTCTCGGCACCATGGGAGCCGCTTCCTCTACTGTCACTGAAACACCCCTGGGATGTATATCTAAAAATTAGAACAGCTTTTGGCTAAATGAACTTAGAAAAAAGAAAACCTTACCTTCTTTTGTAACACTGTTTGGCCTGCCTACAGATTAGCTGACAAAACATGGCTGGAGAATGAGACTGTGAACTTTAACTCCATCCTACAGCTAGATGTTTTCTGTAGTAATCAGGGAAAATGGTCTGAAGTATCCTATGTGCAAGCCGTTCTGGCCTGACAACAAAATCCAGCTCTATGCAGCACCTGTGGGCTAAAGCCTAGTAAGCCAGAAAGCCCCTCAGAACAATTGGAAGATCATCTCTTATTAAGGGGAAGGGACCCCAGACCCCACAGCCCAACACCAGCTCCAGACAGGGGCACTCAGGGGTCCACACCTCCTTTAGAATCCCCAGCATCCCAATACTATCAGAGTCTTCTGTAGAATCTAAGCTTGTTTCACCTCCTCCTTATGCTCCTTTCTATCGGCCTTTGCCAGGTACAATAGAGACCAGCCCAGCTGCAGTTACTCACAGTGGGACTTCACACGATCCAGGGCCAGAGAAATTGCTCCCCTTAAAGTAAGTCCCAAATTGAGAGAGGACCATCAGAGTGCTTGTTCTACTCTCAATAAATGATCTAATCCAATATAAGCAACAACTTTGATGGCCCTCAGACAACTTCAGCGCATTTACTGAAGGCTTCCAGGCTCTAACTTTGACCACCATTCAACTTCACCATCCATAAACGAACCGAATGACTGCTGCCAACTTAGCTGCACAAAATTTTGCTTATTAGCAAAAAATAGAAAATACTTAAAACGTTTGTTGCTTTCACCATTTAATGCAAAATACTTTTGCAGCATAAATGTCACCATAAGGTGGAGCCTTGGGAATCCAGTATAAACTATCTCAGAAAACCTCAATGGGTCCACAACAAGCAGCAGAGGGCCTCAATAGACTTCAACAACGTCTGGACTCCATGGCCACTGTAGTACGACAAAAGCAAAAAGCCTGGGATATTGTCCCAGCCGGGCAAAGAGGAACATGTTTATATCCAAAAGAAGAATGCTGTTTTTGAGATCGATCAGCCCGGTTTAGTCCAAGAAAATATTAATAATATCATCACCCAGGCAGACAAAATTGAATCTCTAGGAACTTCCATGGGACCATGAAAGCAATGTCTATTACCTGCCTTAATCTCTTTAATAGTAACAGCCATTACTATACTTTCAGCTTTTACTTTTTTTCCAATTTTGTTTAAAATGTTAACTGATTTCTTGCTCTCTTGCTTACGGCAACTCCATGTTTGCATGATGGTTTTGCAAGGCTTTCAACATTTGGCTGCCAAAATCTTGCCCACTGGTTCCACGAATTACATGGTTTACAGCCACTTAGATCACACAGGAAGAAACTTTAGGGCCCAGACTAGGCAGAAATAACACCCACTCAGCAGGAAACAGCTCCAGAAAAAGTGACCTAGCCCCTCAACCTCCAATATGATTATGACCCTAAGATCTCTTAGGGGGAAACTGAGGCAGAATAGATCAGAATAGGTAGTCAAGAAAATGACCATGATCTCTGGATACAGAAATGTGGGGAAAAGAAAGAGAGATCAGACTGTTACTGTGTCTATGTAGAAAGAAGTAGACATAAGAGACTCCATTTTGCTCTCTAGTAAGAAAAATTCTTCTGCCTTGAGATGCTGTTAATCTGTAACCCTAGCCCCAAACCTGTGCTCACAGAGACTTGTGCTGTGTCAACTCAAGGTTTAATGGATTTAGGGCTATGCAGAATGTGCTTTGTTAAAAAAGTGCTTGAAGGCAGTATGCTTGTTAAAATTCATCACCACTCTCTAATCTCAAGTACCCAGGGACACAATACACTGTGGAAGGCCGCAGGGACCTGTGCCTAGGAAAGCCAGGTATTGTCCAAGGTTTCTCCCCATGTGATAGTCTGAAATATGGCCTCCTGGGAAGGTCGAGACTTGACCATCCCCCAGCCCGACACCCATAAAGGGTCTGTGCTGAGGAGGATTAGTAAAAGAAGAAGGCCTATTTGCAGCTGAGATAAGAGGAAGGCATCTGTCTCCTGCTCATCCTTGGGCAATGGAATATCTCGCTGTAACACCTGATTGTATGTTCTATTTACTGAGATAGGAGAAAACTGCCTTAGGGCTGGAGTTGAGACATGCTGATGGCAATACTGTTTTTAATGCACCGAGATGTTTGTATACATGCACATCAAGGCACAGCACCTTTTCTAACTTTGTTTATGACACAGAGACATTTGTTCACATGTTTTCCTGCTGACCCTCTCCCCACTATTACCCTATTGTCCTGCCACATCCCCCTCTCCAAGATGGTAGAAATAGTGATCAATAAATACTGAGGGATCTCAGACCAGTGCCAGCGTGGGTCCTCTGTATGCTGAGCGCCAGTCCCCTGGGCTCACTTTTCTTTCTCTATACTTTGTCTCTGTGTCTCTTTCTTTTCTCAGTCTCTCATTCCACCTGATGAGAAACACCCACAGGTGTGGAGGGGCAGGCCAACCCTTCATTGAAACTGTGGTAACTGTACAGCCAAGACAATGAGCCTTAGCATTCGCATTGTAATTGGGCTCATTCAAGCAAAGCTATCTTCATTAAGAACTTTCTGTTCTAGAGAGCATGTGCATTTTGATTTTACCTGTCCTCAAACTTAACTTTTGCTTATTTTAATAGCAAAAGTACACCCCCCAGCTGGGCACGGTGGCTCACACCTGTACTCCCAGCACTTTGGGAGGCTGAGAAGAATGGATCACTTGAAACCAGAAGCTCAAGATTAGACTGGCCAACATAGTGAAAGCCCATCTCAACTAAAAATACAAAAATTAGCCAGGTATGGTGGTGCATGCCTGTAATCCCAGCTACTCAGGAGGCTGAGGCACGAGAATGGCTTGAACTTGGGAGGGAGAGGTTGCAGTGAGCAGAGATTGCACCACCACACTTCAGCCTGGGCAACAGAGCGAGACTCTGTCTCAAGCAAACAAACAAAAATACACTCCTGGCTAGAGGTCTAAGATGCTAATGAGACATGCAAAATATGAGTAAGCATGTACAACTACTGCACATGTGCACCCAGAAGACCACTCAGAACAGGCTTACTAGCAGCTCCTCTTCCCCCCTCATTATTAATAATAATATAAAACTCCCATAAGGGGGTTTCTCCAGCGACAATCCACGCTGTCTCACTCTTATGAGCAGCCCGCCCTGGAATATCTCTCTCATGGTGTACTGTATTCTGCACTTAACTTTCAAATTTGTTTTCTTTTCCAATAAATTATGCTGTACTTCTTTTCTGTGTGTCTCTTGTTTAAACTATTATAAACTAAGAAGACAAGGACCGAGGTATTACATCAGCTCTCAACACAGCAATAAATCAGCCTCCTTCCTGTGGGCATAGTCCATGCAGAAAAGGAGTCACATCACCTAGGTGCTGGACCCAGAGATACATCACAATTTATCCTATGCACAAAGTTAAGGGGATAGAGGAGAGTCATATTAGTTTATGGCCCAGGGATATGTCACAATGGCTCCTGTGAGCAGAGATCAGGCAGAATAATCACATAACAGTTGTGCTGGATACAGCGATAAACCAAGCTTTCATCTGTGGGAACGACCCAGGCAAGAAAGAAGAGTCACAGCATTTAGGTGCTTGCTGCAGAGGTACATAACAATATCTCTTATGGGCAAAGCCCAGGAAAGAGAGGAGAGTCACATCTCCAAGGTACTAATGTAGAAATATGTCACAAAAACTTTTTAGGCAGGGCCCATGCTGGATCTTCTTATCTTCCAGATGTTAGGTGCAGGGATATGTCAGAATACCCAAAATACACAGGGCTTAGTCAAAAAAGGAAAGCCACATCACCTAGGTTCTGGGTCTAGACATATATCACGTCTCTTTTATGGGAAAACCTCAGGTGAAAAAGCAGTTCACATCAAATAGTTGTTAGGCAGAGAGATATGTCACGTTGCCTCCTGCTAGGCCAAAGACTCACATCTTCTTGGTGCTAGGCCCGTGTTCACGTATAAATATTCAACCAGAGATGAAATGGTGGCTCATTTATAAACGCAGCTTATAGGCAAGGGAGGACTCCCCTATCCTGACCTAGTTAATTGTAATGACGTTGACTCTCATACCCGGGCTTAATGCCACAGCTATGATCATGGGTCCCTACCAGCAGGAAGGTCTCAAAGTTGATTGCAACTGTCATTCATACTGTATAGCGCCATTGGGTAGTACACAGAGAGTGCTAACTGGGTCGAGCACACAGGTGAGACTGTGGAACTCATATGCACACCCAGCCAACAGTAAATATTCTCATCCTCTCACAGGAACACAGGTCACTGTTGAGGTGCTGAATCTCACACCTGTAGTCAGCCAAAGGTGGGAAAAATTGACTTATATATGGATATATATGTCCATATATATCCATGGGTTGGTGACTCTCAGACCAAGGTTCAGCACAACTGTGAGGCTGTGACTTCACTAAGGTGACACAGTCTGCAGAGGAATTGAGGCTCTCATGCACAAATCCAGTCTGGTGTTGAGATGGTTACTTGTGGGCTTAGACCCAACATACAAGAGGTGTTGAATGTCATGCCTACAACTGTGACAGTTGTGGGATTGTTAATCTTATTCCCGGACCATTCTGCAGGTTTCATGATGAAATTTCCCAGTGCCTAGCACCTGAGTGACTTGACGCTCTTGCATGGACCCAGCCCACAGATGGGATATTAACATATTGCTGGATCCACCGCCTTGAGGGTGCAACTGTATTCTCCTTCCTTGGCACTGCCCACAGTGAGCATTTTGACATATTGCTAGACCGTGCACCCAGGTGATGTGAGTCTCCTCTTCCACCTTAGCCTGCCCACAGGAAGCATTGTTCTATATAGCATGGCCTGGCACCCAGGTTATGTGACTCTCCAGCTTGTGCCTATATGGGACACTGTGGTATATTGCTGGGTCCACTACCCAGGTGATGTAACTCCTCTGCCTGGGCCCTGACTGCAAGGGGCATTGTGACAGATCTCTGTGCTCACTGGCCAGGTAATGTGATTCTCTTTTCCTGTCTGGTCCCTTTACACAGAAGAGATTGTGACATGTTGCTGGGCTTAGCACCAAGTTGATGTGAATCTTCTGCCTGGATCAAGTTCACAGAAGGCCTTGTGACATACCTCTGTGTCCACTACCTATTTGATGTGACTCTCCTCTCTTACATGAGCAATGCCTATAAGAGAGATTGTGACATATCTTTGGGCCAAGCACCGGGATGATGTGACTCTTCTCCCTGCCTCAGTCATGCCCACAAAGGGAAGTGTGACTTATAACTGGGCACAGCACACAGGTGAAGTGATTCTTCTGCATGGTCCCTACCTACAGGAGTCATTGTCAAATACCTCTGGGCCCATCATCTAGACTATGTGACTCTCTAGTTCTTCCTAGGGCCTGCTCACAGTAAGGATTATGACATATTACTTTGCCCAGTACCTACATGATGTGACTTTTCTCTCATGTCTGGGCTCCATCTTGGAGATGAATGTGACACACAGCTAGGCCTGTCCCCTAGGTTATGTAACTTCTCCTTTTTCAAAATCCTACTCACCAGGGGCATTGAAACATCTCTCTGCGCACTTCACTTAGGTAATGTTACCCTGTTGCCTGGAGCCTCCCCTCAGGGGGTATTGTGACACATTCCTGGACCCAGTACCTATGTGATATGCTCTCATTTCTTGCCTGGGCCCTGTATACATTGTGTATTGTAATATATGGCTGGGTTCAATGACTAGATGATGCAATTCTTACGCATAAGCCCTACCCACAGGGACATTGTGACATTTCTTTAGCTCTGACTCTCCTCTTCTGCCTTAGCCCTGCCAAAAACAGAGGTGGTGAAATATAACTGGACCTAGCAACCAGCTAATATGACTCTCCTCTTTTGCCTGCACCGGCATATTTTGGGTATTGTGACATATCATTTATCTCAACACCTGCAGGATGAAAGGCTCCTTCCTGAGCCCAGCCATCAGTAAAAATTGTCATTCTCCCACATGGACACAACCCATAATTGAGGTTCTGAATCTCACACCCAGAGGCAGTCAAAAGTTGGAAAGTTGGCTCTCATAAGTGGATGTTGTCCACAAGTGGGTTTGTGAATCCCTGAACAAGATCCAAAACACTTGTGAGGCTGTGACTCCACTAAGATAACTCAATTTTCGAAAGGCATTAAGCCTCTCATGGAAAAATCCATTCCACCATTGAGATTGTGACTTATGTACATGGACCCAACATACAGGAGGCCTTGACTCTCATACCCAGAACTGGCACTTACGTGGGATTGTTAATCTCACCCAGAGACCTTCCTGCAGGTGTGATTCTGACGTACACTTCTATGTGGGATTGTTAATCTCACCCAGGGAGCTTCCTGCAGGTGTGATTCTGACGTACACCTCTATGTACATTGCAGTGAGCCGAGATCGCACCACTGCACTCCAGCCTGGGCGATAGAGTGAGATTCTCCCCCCCCCCAAAAAAAAGAGGCAATGACGTTGCTTCCTGCCTCTGCCTGAAGTTAGGGGTCTCTGACCTCTGCTGGCACCTAGCAGTCAAAGTGGATGGGGTCAGGGGTCAACTCTCAGCCAAGCACAGGGCCCTTCCCCTCTTGCTACCCCACACAGGTGAAGCTGCTGGTCATGGCTAACCTGGAGCTGCTCTGTGTCCCACAGTTCCCTGCTGAACCAGTAATATTTATGGGGCACAGTGTGATGTTTCACTGCGTCATACTATATGGTACAGTGTGATGCAGTGAAACATCACATTGTACTCTGTAAACATGTATTATATTACATGTTAATTATATGATGTTCCACTGCATCATACTACACGGTACACTGAGATGCAGTGTAACATCACACCATACTCCGTAAACATATATAACTATCATGTGTTAATTACGTGATGCTTCACTGCATCATACTACACGGTACAGTGAGAGGCAGTGAAACATCACATTGTACTCTGTAAACATATGTAACTATCATGTGTTAATTATGTGATGCTTCACTGCATCGTACTACACGGTACAGTGAGATGCAGTGAAACATCACAGTGTACTCCATAAACATATGTAACTATCATGTGTTAATTACGTGATGCTTCACTGCATCATACTACAAGGTACAGTGAGATGCAGTGAAACATCACATTGTACTCCATAAACATATGTAACTATCATGTGTTAATTACGTGATGCTTCACTGCATCATAGTACACGGTACAGTGAGATGCAGTGAAACATCACATTGTACTCCGTAAACATATGTAACTATCATGTGTTAATTACGTGATGTCTCGCTGCATCATACTACACGGTACAGTGAGATGCAGTGAAACATCACATTGTACTCCACAAACGTGGACAATTATGTTAATTATATGATGTTTCACTTCATCACACTGTACCACATACACTGTACAGTGATCCAACCAGAGTAATTAGCATATTTAACACTTCAAACATTTATTTCCTTGTGCTAATAAAGTTCAAAATCCTCACTTCAAGCTATTATAGAATAAAAGGTACATTATTATTAGCTATAGTCATCGTGCTGTGTAATAGAACACCAGGATTTATTCTTCCTAACTGTAACTTTGTAACCCAGTGACAAAGCTCTCCCCACTCCCTCATCCTTCTGCCATCACTAACCTCTGGTAACCACCATCCTACTGTCTACTTCTATGACATGGACTTCTTCAGATTTCACGTGAGTGAAAGCACGTGGTCTTTTTCTTTCTGTGCCTGGCTTATTCCACTTAACATAATGTCCTCTAGGCTCATCCATGTTGACAAAAATGACAGAACTTCATTCTGTTTTATGACTGAACATTATTCCTGTGTGTGTGTGTGTGTGTGTGTGTGTATAACATTTTCTTTATTCATTCTGTAGATGGGCACTTATACACTGTTGGTAGGAATGTAAGTTAGTACAATCATTTCCCATTTCTATAGGGAGAACAGTATGGAGGTTTTTCAATAAATTATAAATAGAACTACCATATGATCCAGCAATCTCATTGCTGGGTTTATATCAAAAGGAAACAAATTAAGCACGTCAAAAAAGAGAACTGCACTCTCATGTTTATTAAGCAGTATTCAAAATAACCCAAACCACTATTTCTTCTAAGTATTTCTTAATTTACCTTTTTTTCATATATTACACCCTAAGCTTTTAAAGGTTTCATGTCTGGTTTCCAATTTCTGAAACTTACGAGTCACTGATTCTTTGTTGCCTTCCTATTTAGAGAGTCTGGTAAAACAATTAAATGCTTTTTATTTCTTCTCAATCTAATCTTCATATATAAATATATTTATATTTTCTATTAATTTGCCTTCTATAACATATATGACTACATTAATTGTGATCAGCATTTCACTTTACAGCCCTCTTTTTGGCTCAGCCTATTTTAATATGTAATTTGTATGTTGTACATTAAATTCTTTTACAACACTTTCAATACTTTACTTTTCATTTGCCTCGTTTCCAAAGATAGCTTGACAAGCTCGTAGTTTCTTTCCACATTATTTTGGTTTCTTGTTTTTCCATTATATTGACTTAAACATTTAAATATAAATTCAATATCTGAGATTTATGTGCCATATAATTTCTTCTGATGCTTCACCCCAGTAGCTCATCTCCTTGTGTGCAACATAATTTATAATTTAATCCTCATATATGGGAGACACCGCATTCCAATGCCTGCAGGCAGTTTCTCTTTGTTTATTTCATTTGCCTTGTCAGAAGGGAACAACCCACATGGACTTGACTTTCTTGTAATCAGATGCGTCTGAGTGGTGCCCTGGCCTCTTAGGTTGATTACTTCTCTGGATCATTACCTTTATTTACTTCCAGTCCTGGGAGGTTTTCTTAATTTCCTTTCAACTATATTGGGCATTCTGTGAATTCTTGTAACTTCTTGGTGATTTTAATTGTCTGCATTAAGTGTTTAAAGTATATTATTTTTCTGAAAAGCAGAAATATCAATAATTGCATATATGAGTGAAATATTTTACATAGATTTTCTATGGCATCTATCACCATGAGAAATTCCAAGTTTTTTTCATTTGAAACACCCCTCTCATCAATAGACCATATTGTAATAATTTGTAGAGTGTGATTACTTTTATACCATTAGAAAATTAATTATATATTATGTACATATTTTTGAAATACTCCACTGCAATAAATAGTATATGGTTAGAAGTATTGTTTTCTCTAACATAAAACTAATATGAGTAAAATTATCTACCTGAATTCAGACCTTTTGGCTTCAATGGCCATTCTGCCCCATTAGTACTTCTCTGATCCATAAAAGACATCATTTGTATTTTTTGTTTAATTCATAATTTATTGAAATGAGTAATTTAAGGTTATAATGTTTTATGGCAATTTAGGACATTTTCAATAAATATATTGAGCTCGAGGCCCTGGCTAAGTATTCCTTTTGTACACAAAATCAGATTTTTCTGGCACAACTTCATTGCCTGCAATGGTATTTATAAAAAGTATGAATGCCAGCACATGGACTATTTCAATACTGTACTCATTTTTTCATGTATAAACATTTCATTAGCTATGAAACAAACCAAATACAAATGCTGAATGTACAGTATATATCAACAAATGCAGATTCTTCACCAAAGAAAACAATAAAAGATGAATTTTCTGTGACATGTCACCTGTTCATTAGTTCTTTAATATGATTTAGGCTATCCCAAATATAAGAAAATGTATGCATCACTATTCATGTTGTCTCAACATTTTTTATCTAGGTCCTGAAGGACATAAAAAAGAATGTACATTGTCAGATTTATTTTTATAGATTTTAGATGTTTCTTTTGCTGTATTTTCTGTGCATACTACTATGAATATATGGAGACAAGGACAAATGAGCATTTAAGTGGTTATATGAATTTTGCTTATATGGCTAATTGCTTATATGGATGTTGTAAATGACCAGATAAAATAGTAAAGTTTGATAAACTTATCTGTACCCTGTGAACTTTAGTTCACTTACTGTATAACTTAATTCAGTCACTAATAATTAGTTTAAAAAGTGTTTTTTTAAAGCTGCAAACCACATTTTATTACACATTTCTGAATCAGGAAGGGGTAAACTGTGACCCAGCTTTCTTATGCCACTGACTTTTTTGGGGAGAAACATTCTGCAATAAAATAAGAGTCTCCAAACTCTATTTATAAAAAAAGCTTGAGTTTTCTTCTGTGATTAACCTTCACTCCTCAGTCCCTTTTACCCAAGGAATGGTTCCTAGGTCATCTTTTGGAAGTTTAGTTTCTGGAAAGTTTTCAGCAAACCTCTCCTGAGCTTTGTCCCAGTTGTTGTTGTTCTTGTTTTGGAGAAGGTGAGTCTCTTTAATTGAGGATGGTTTGTCTGTCTCCAATCCTGCATGTGTTTGCCAAAGCTGAAGCTGTATTGGAGATTTTATTCTCCCACCATCCCTCCCCAGGCCTTCTCCTGTTTTCAACACATCTTTTTCAACATCTTCTGACCTTTGTCGCTATCAGTAATTTCAGAATGAACAGATTCAGGAGCATCATCTCTTTGGAAATTTCCTTCACTTCCAATCTGCTCCCTATGTTTTCCAGCTCTATCTTTATATTTTTGATTCTCCAGTATTTTATCATCTTTGTAATCTGTATTCTGTAAACCATATTTTACTCGTATATTTTTAAAATCCTTTTCTTCTTTCCAACTCGTTTCCTTCTTAGTTAATGATGGACCAACAAATGATTCATCTTTCTTATCAAGGAAAAGGTGAGCTCTAACCTGCCCTGGTTCACATCCAACACAGCTATTACTGCCAGGGTGAAAGTAATAAGATAACACAGTGTCTCCAACTTTCACTTTATCTCCATGCTCAGGTTCATAATGGTCACATTTAGTTTTCAGCTGAACAATCCATTTTCCATTAACAAGTGTTCCATTTTGACTGCCTGATCCAAAAGGACATAACTTTGTAAGTCATGGTCAAAACAGATTTCTGCATGAAACTTACACCAACTTCAGGGATTCGAAGAGTATTCTTCATATCATTTTCTCTTCCAATTGTAGCAGGTTTTACAACAGTAATGATGAAGAATGATCCTGTCTGTAACACAAGTGATCTCATGACAATTACTCTCGTATATGAGGGCCACAATTTTTCCTCATCTTCCTCCGCAGTATCTTTTGCAGTTGCATTGCCTTTACTGGTAATGCCTTCATCATAACTACCCTCAGTCTGAGAGTCCGTAATTTCACCTTCTTCTGGTTCACTAGCAGTCTCTGTGATTTTCTCATCCTTAAAGATGAATTGAGCTGTTTTCATTAAGAGGAGATTCCATAGGATTTCCACTAACTGGAACAGTGAATTTTGGGGATTATTTTTGTGATGAATGCCTATTTTGGCTTTTTTTTTTCACATTTGTGAAATTGTCTTTCCCGTTGCAGCTTGTATGTTCAACACTGAAGGCTTCTTGATCCTCTGAATTCAAATCCTTTTCCTCATTGTTTTTTTGTAGAAGAATCTGGATCCTTTCTTTTCTCAATTTTTCATTTTTGTTTTGTGCTATAAGTCTGATAAGGTTGCAAATCTACTCGAGAATGAAATCGATAGCGACCACTTTCCACATCACAGTAGTAATAAATTAAATGATAATATATTTGATTCTCAGAATCTTAATAAAAACCAGTGCTGTGGTCAAAATACAGTCCAGTATTTTCATCATAACTAAATCCAGTCTGTGATAAAGCCGCTTCTGCTGCAGCTCTCAAACTTTCAGCTAATGACGAAACTTCTAAGGACGTATCTTGTGCTGCTAATGCAGATGCTGGCTCCTGTGAATTTGTGGCAAATGACCCTGTCTACACTTAACATTTGCTGTCCTATCAGTACCAGGGTGAGCATCATTTTTTATTTATAACTTGTCGTTAGAATTCAAAGCAGGACTTTCAATATCCTGATCTTGCTGATTTGACAGTTCAGTCACTCACTTTATTTGGAAGACTAACATCATTACAGTAGATCTGATAATAATCTGAGATTGACCAAGGAGCATGGTTCTCTGTGAGTACTTCTACATCAGACTTTTATTATCTCCATTTCTCTCACAGCAGAGTACATTACTGAGCTTTTCTTCCAGCTGCGTGCAGAGCTCCTGGTGGTTGCTCGTGTCGCTCTGAGCAGCCGTCCTGTGCGAGGCCATAGCTTCTCCTGTTCCCGCACCTGCCGCCTGCAGCTCAGCGTTCGGGTTCCAGCTTCTCTGCCCTCCTTCTCCGCTGGGCCAGCTCGGGCTCAGGGAGGGGGAGGAGCGGTCACAGCGAAGGCGCTGGCGGCGGGTACGGGCAGAGGCCGCGAGTTCGGGCGCCAGACGGCTGCGGCCTTGGAGGGGCTGCGTGGGGCCGAAGCGGGCGCCGGCGGAGCCACAGGGGCGCGCGGGCAGCCACAGGCAGCCTCCCCGGCCAGGAGGCCCCGAAACGCAGAGCCTAACGGGGCTGCGGCAAGAGCAAGGGAACGGTGATGGCCCTGCCGGATCTGCGTGCCTGGAATCCTGGGAACGACTGTACCTTCCCCAGCCACGGGGGCCGCAGGAGGAGCGTCGAAGTCCAGGGGCCAGAAGTGCTCCGGCCGTTCCCGAGTTGAGCTGGAAACAGTGGCCAAGTGTGTTTTAAATTGAGTTTCCATGTGGCTAGCTATGACCTGCTGGTTACTCTTATTTTTTTCTCCATTCGTTGAGCTATGATTGACTAATTGAAAAGCGTATATTTTTAGGGTGTACAATAGAGTGTTTTGAGATGTCAGTAGTCTTTAAATTACCTCAGTTAAGCTAGTTAGCCTATCTATCCCCTCACATAGTTAATACGTTCCTGTGTGTGTGGTGAGAGCACCTGAGATCTACTCTTGTAGCAAATTTCAAGTACGGAGTATTGTTAACTATAGTCACTATTCTGTACATTAGGTCCCCAGCAGTTACTCACCTTGTAACTGAAGGTGTGCCCCTTCCATGGATATCTCCCCACTTTCCCCACTTCCTAGCCCATGGGAAGCACAGTTCTACGGTTTCCATGGCTTTTTTTAAATTTTTATTTACTTTTTTAGATTTTACATACAAACGAGATCATGCAGTAGTTGTCTTTCTGTATTCGGCTTATTTCACTTAGCATAATGTCTTCAAGATTAATCAATATTGTTGTGGATGAGTTTCATTTTTATTAAAGCTGAAATTATGTATGTCTCAGTTTATCTGTATCAGAGGAGTGCAGATACCCTTGATGATCCTGATTTTATGTACTTTGGCTATATACTCCTAATTGGGATTAGTGGTAGTTCTAGTTTAAAAATTTTAAGGAATCTCCATACTGTTTTTCATAATAGCTGCACCAATTGACATCCTCAGCAACAGTGCACAAGTGTTCTCTTTTTCCACACCCTAACACTTTTTATCTTTTGACTTTTTGATAATAGGCATCCAAACACCACGATAAGGTGATACCTCATTGTGATTTTGTTTTTAATTACTCTGAAAATTAGTGATGTCGAGCATTTTTTATATACCTGTTGGCCATTTGTATATCTTTGGAAAAATTGCTATTTATATATTTTGCCCAATTATTAATCAAGAAATTGCTTTTAATTCTGCTGTGGGTTTTTTGTATTGATTAGTATGATGTATATTTTGGATAGTAACATATTACCCTATATATGGTTTACAAATATTTTCTCCCATTTCCTATATTTTGCTGATTGTTTCCTTTGTTGTGCAGAAAGTTTTAACTTTGACATAGTTCCACTTGTTCATTTTTGCTTTTGTTGACTGTGTTCTTGGTGTCATATCCAAAACATCATTGCCATGACCAGTGTCAAGGTTTTTCCCCATTTTTTTAAGAGGATTCATGATTTCAGTTCTTATGTTTAAGTCTTTATTTCATTTCAAATTCATTTTGTGATGACATGAGAGAAAGGTTCACTTTTTTCTGTGCATATCTAGTTTTTCCTACACCACTCCTTGATGTGTTTATCCTTTCTCCATTCTCTGGGATTGGTTGACTGTATATTTGTGAGTTTATTTCTGGGTCCTCTATTCTGTTCTATTGGTTTTTATGTAGGTACTATACTATATTGATGACTACAGCTTTGTAATATAGTTTGAAATCAGGAAGTGAAAGGCTTTCAGCCTTTTTGTTCTTCTCAGTATTTGGCTATTTGAGGTCTTTTGTGGTTCCATACTAATTTTAAAATTGTTGTTCTACATTTTTAATAAAATGGCATTAAAATTTTGATAGAAGTTTAACTCTGTAGATCACATTGTGTAATATGGATATTTTAATAATATTAATTTTTAGAATCCATGAACACATAATATATTTCCCATTTTGTATTTTTCATTTTCTTTCCTCAACATTTTATAGTTTTCAGCCTGCAGATCTTTCATATTCTTTGTTAACTCATTCTTAAGTATTTCATTCTATTTGATAATATTGTAAATGGAACTATCTTTATTTCTGTTTCAGATATTTTGCTGTTACTGTAAAAAAATGCCACTGATGTTCATATGTTAATATTGTATCCTGAAAATTTACTGACTTAGCTGTTTAGTTATAACAGGTTTTTTTTTTCTGGTAAAATGGTGGGTATTCTGAATTCTGGTAAAATTGATAGTTGCTATTATCATTTCAAAATTATTTAAAATATGACCAGATGGATTCCTGCTTTCATGAATTCAATGGAATTCAAATCTTCCCATTTGAAATAATTTTGTCTGGTTGACCTAGGCCCCGGGGATCGGGGGCACCCCTTGAGAGCCCGGAGATTCGCTTGGGGGTGGGAGGGAGAAGCCGTCAGAGAAGGGGCTGAGCTGAGGAAGCGGAGAGGGGCTCCGGGGACAGCCGGGAGGAGAGAAGGTCCTGTGAGAGACCCAGTGGGGAGAGAGAATGGGCCAGAAAACGAGGAAGGGTGAGAGTGAGCAACAGGACGGCTTCCCGGCGCGGTAGGGAAATTTGCTGAAACTGCGGGCCCCAGGGAACAGCACGGGCAGGGTGGGAGGGAGTGGAGAAGACCCAGTACACCCCAAGGTCAGTGTGGAGAAAGGGACATTTCCCGGTTCCTTCGCCTCTGCCCAGCGTTCTGCGGGCATGGCCCCCACAGGGGCAGGGCAGGGGAGGAGGTGGCTCCTGGCAGGCTTGGAGAACTAAGGGGCGCACACCAGCTTCGCAGGGCCAGGGTGACAGGGGAAGCCTGAGACGGCTGCGGATCTTGCTGGCCCAGTGAGTGGGCGCGGGGAATGCGGGAGGGGCCGACCTCACCGGGCCAGCGCCGGGGCCTGCAGGTGACCCTGGAGGAATCTGCAAGCACCCACCCGTGCAGCGGGCCTTCCGGGAGACCAGTGTGGACAGCGCCCTGGACACGCCCTTCCCATCTGGAACATTTGTGAGGCTGGAATTTAAGCTCCGGCAGACAGAGAACTGGCCGGAGGAAGGACTGGAAGAAAGCCAAGTGCAAAGTCCAGCCTGAGAGGAGGAAGCAGAAATGGCTGACCTGCGTCAAACTGGAATATGAGGATAAGGTTCTGGGCAGGATGGTTCGCTGCCCTCCAGAGACACAGACTCGGCGGGAGCCTGAGGAGCACCAGGAGGCCGGGTGCAGCTGGGCAGAGCGGGCGGTGAAGACCCCACAGCTGCTGCTTCCCTGCACAGTTCGCCTTCTCCAAGGCCTAGCCCCCAGCGGAGCCCAGTACTGAATCTCATGGCGCCCCCTGGAGCCCTGGTGGGGATAACCAGTGGAAGACCCACCTCCCAGGGAGAGGACCCCATTGTATCCCCAGATAATAAAACTGTTCTCTCCCCCCAAAAAATAAATAAATAATTTTGTCTGGTCTTTGAAAATGTGTATCCTCTGTGTTCTGGTCCAAATCCTGCCCATTTATCTATATGCCTAATTAGTCAAACTTTTTAATGAAGTTATTTAGCATTCTTTTTAATTATGAAACAAAGCAGTAAATTTGTTAATGGTTTTAATATCATCTAATATGATTGAAATTATGTCAATTTGTCATTGTCAATGAATCTTTGTGTTATTTATTTTACTCTGTTACATATTCTGTACATAAAGGTCTAAGTGGCTTAGAATCTTGCCTAACATATTTTATGTGCTAAGTACTAACTACTCTAATTCATCAAATTATCTTTCTATACCATTCTTAAAATACAATATTATTTTTTATTTATTTTTGTTAAAATTTTTTTGCCTAATCTAATTATTTATGAAAATTATGAGGTCTATTCAGTTTGTCCTCTGATAAAAGCCAAAGTTTTTTTTTCTCTCTTTTTTTTTGAGACGGAGTCTCTCTGTTTCCCAGGCTGGAGTGCAGTGACACAATCTCAGCTCACCACAACCTCTGCTTCCCGGGTTCAGGTGATTCTCCTTCCTTAGTCTCCTGAGTAGCTGGGACTACAGGCATGCTCCACCATGCCCGGCTAATTTTTGTATTTTTAGTAGAGACAGGGTTTCACTATATTGGCCAGGCTGGTCTTGAACTCCTGACAACGTGGTCCGCCCACCTCAGCCTCCCAAAGTGCTGGGATTATAGGCTTGAGCCACCACGCCAGGTCTCTTTTTCTAAATCTCTTTATTAATACGTTAGAGAGTACAAATGCAGCTCCCTTACAGATGCATGTTGCATAGGGATGAAGTATGGGCTTTTGGTGTGACAATCATCTGAATGTTGTTTATTGTCCCCATTAGTTATTTTCTCATTCCTAAACCCTCTCCAACCTCCCATCTTTCTGAGTCTCCAGTGTCTATTTTTCCAGTCTCTATATCCAAGCATATGCATAATTGAGTTCACACTTGCAAGTGAGAAAATACAGATTAGATTTTCTGTTTCTGAGGTTTTTCACTTACAGTAATGGCCTCTGGTTTTATTCATGTTGTTGCAAAAGACATGATTTTATTCTTCTTCATGGTTGAGTAGCATTCCTTGGTATACTTGTATAACACATTTTCTTCATTCGATTATTGATTGATAAATTTAAATTGATTTCATGTATTGGCTATTGTGAATAGTGTTGTGATAAACATGTGAGCATGGGTATTTTCTTTATGTAACAAATTATTTTCCCCTGGGTAGATACCAAGTAGTGGGAATGCTGAATCAAATGGAAGTTCTATTTTTAGTCTATTTTGAAATCTCCATACTGTTTTCCATAGAGATTGTAGAAAGTTACTTTCCCACAGACAGTGTATAAATGTTATCTTTTCTCTGTATCCTTGCCGATAGCTCATTTTTCTTCTTTTTAGTAATAGCCATTCGGCATGGTGTAAGTTGGTATCTCATTGTGGTTTTTAATTGGCATTTCTCTGATCATTGACAATGTTGAGCACCTTTTACGTACTTGTTGACCATTGACCTTCAGTGTCTTTTTTTTTAATGTTCATGTTCTTTGCTTGCTTTTTAATGAGGTTACTTGTTTTATTTTTGTTGAGCTGTTTGAGTTCCTTGTATATTCTGGACATTAGATCTTTGTCACATGCGAAACTTGTAAACGTTTATCTTATTTCATAGGTTTTCTTTTCACTGTGTTAATTAAAAAGCTCATTTTCAGGAGCTTTTTAGTTTGAGTTCCTTTTGTCTATTTTTGTTATTGTTACATCTGCTTTTGAGATCTTAGTAATAAATTCTTTGTTCAAGTCAATGTCTAGAAGAGTTTATTCTAGAGTTTCTTCTAGCATGTTTATAGTTTCAGGTCTTGCATTTTAGTTTTTTAACACATATTGAGTTGATTTTTGTATATGGTGGAACATGGGGGTCCCATTCCGTACTTCTGCATATGGCAATATAATTTTTCCAGCACAATTTATTGAATAGGATGTCATTTCTCCAGTGTATGTTTTTGTTGACTTTGTAAAAGATCAGTTGTTTGTAGGTATGTGGCTTTATTTCTAGGTTCTCTATTCTGTACCATTGATCTTTGTGTCAATTTATATCAGTACCATGCTGTTTTGGTTACTACAGCCTTCTAGCATAATTTTAAGTCAGATAATGTAATATCTCCAGCTTTATTCTCTTTGCTTAGATTTACTTTGGCTATTCAGGCTCTTTTTGTGGTTCCATGTGAATTTTAGTGTTTTTTTTTCTAATTTTATAAAAAATAACATTGGCATTTTGGTAGGAATTGCATTTAATATGTAGATTGCTTTGGGCAGTAGAGTCATTTTAACGATCATAATTCTTCCAATCCATGAGCATGGGATGTTTTTCTCATTTGTGTCATGTACAACTTCTTTCATCAGTGTTTTGTAGTTTTCCTTGTAGGGATTGTTCATCTTTTTGACTAATTGTATTTCTAAGCATTTTACCTTTTTTGTAGCTATTGTAAAAGGAAGTGACTTTTTAATTCAGTTCTCAGCTTGATCATCATTAGTGTATAAAAACGCTACCAATTTTTGTACATTGACTTTTG